>NC_000010.11:52112792-52264307 GCF_000001405.40 Homo sapiens | reverse complement strand
CAAAATCAGCCAAAGGCCTATAATAAAACATCAACAATAAGAACATCAGTAAACAAACCACTAGACTCCCTATAAATGCATAAGCACTATGTTCCACCTCCATCATTTCCCAATATTCCCGTTGCCAGAAAGCTCTTCACAGCCCTGTAGGACACTGGCCTTAGATTCTACGTTCAGAAAGCAATGTAGACATCCTGTTCTGCAGCAGTGGAGTATAATAACAAAGCTGAAGCAGGGTATACAGAAGCCATAAAACTGCCCTAAAATTCAACAGGAAAAAAGACATGAAGTTACTATACATTAAATAACTGGGTATTTAGATTATTGAACTAGATCATACATGTAGAAAATAAAAATATTTAGTGTAACACAAAATTTTAGCATTTGAATATCTGTACCAGAAAAGGTAAATCTTGAGAGATAGAAAGTAGATGACAGGCCAGGTATGGTGGTTTACACCTGTAATGCCAGCACTTTGGGAGGCTGAGGTGAGCCCATCACTTGAGCTCACAAGTTGGAGACCAGCCATGGGCAACATGGCCATGTCTCTACAAAAAATACAAAAATTAGTCGGGCATGGTGGTGGATGCCTCTAGTCCCAGCTACTTGGGAGGATGAGGTGGGAGATTGCTTGAGCCTCTAAGCTCAAGCTGCAGTGAGCCAAGATCATGCCACTGCACTCCGGCCTGGGTGACAGAGCAAGACCCTGTCTCAAAAAAAAAAAAAAAATCCTGGAGATTGGAATGGAGAGTATTTCTAAATGGGCACAAGGGTTCTTATTGCAGTGGTAGGAATGTTCTAAAGCTGGGTTATATGATGGTCATACAATTCTAAAAATCACTGAATTATACCCTTAAAATGGGAAAGTTTTATGGTATGTAAATTATACCTCAATGAAGTTGTTAAAGAATTTTTAAAAAGAGAGAGAACTTGTAATTCCTTGAATCTACAACTTCTAGTTCTGTATTGATTTGTCAGGTAGCTACATGTTTCATTTACATTTTAAAGAATTTAATGTCAAAAATGTATTTCTCTGTGCTTACTATCTCACTTACAATAAAAGTTCCCCAGTTAGCCACAAACTAGATTTTTAAACTCTAATTTCTGTTAAATATTGACACATTTTTAAAAAGTCATTTTTAATGACTTTACTACTTGTTTATTGAAAAACCTAAATTTAAAAGTCTTATTTTTTAAAAAATTAGGATCATGAATAAATTTAAACAAAATGTACATAATTAACACAAAGTTCTTTAAAACTTATCTTGTCAAAATAATAGGTACAGTCAGCTTTCTGCATCTGTAGGTTCTGCATCCACATTCAAACAACCAAGGATTGAAAATACTCGGAAAACAAAAATGGATGGTTGTGTTTGAGGTGAACATATATAGACATTTTTCTTGTCATTATTCCCTAAACAATACAGTATAACAGCTACTTACATAACATTTGCATTGTATTAGGTACTGTAAATAAACTAGAGATGATTTAAAATATAGGAGAGAATGTGTGTATATGCAAATACTATGCCATATTATATTAGGGACTTAAGCATCTGTAAATTTTGATATCCACAGCAGGAAGAGGTATTGGTGAGGACAGGTCCTAGAACCAATCCCCCATGGATGCTGGGGATTGGAAGGTTAAAATATTGTAATAATAAACCAACTGTGGTTGTATGCAAGTCCATATGACATCCTAAAGCCTTATTTTCCTTACTTATGAGAATAAAACCAGACCAAGTGCGGTGGCTCATGCCTGTAATCCCAGCACTTTGGGAGGCCGAGATGGGCAGATCATTTGAGGTCAGGAGTTCAAGACCAGCCTGGCCAACATGGTGAAACTTCATCTCTACCAAAAATATAAAAATTAGCCAGGCATGGCAGTGGGCACCTGTAATCCAGCTACTCAGGAGGCTGAGGCAGGAGAATTGCTTGAACTCAGGAGGCAGAGGTTGCAGTGAGCCAAGATTGTACCACTGTACTCCAGCCTGGGCAACAGAGCAAGACTCTATCTCAAAAACAAAGAACAAACAAACAAAAAAAACCAGCTTCATATTATAGAAACAGATATTGTAAGTTAAAATCAGATAGTGTATGTGAAAATTATTTATAAATTAAGAAGTGTTATATAAGAATGATCATTACTACTATGATTTCCAAGATATGATATTTTACTATTACAACTGATAATTAAATCTGTTTTTAAGTTAGTAGTCCCAATCAACTGAATGAATACAGGACTAGGACAAATCTACCTGTTTAAATTTAAGGAAGTTTTACTTTCATGGCGAAAGAAAAAGCAATTTTATTACTCCAACTCAAATAACTTTTTGGACATGGCCAACTAAAGTGCCCACTTGTTCAGGAGAAGCCAGCTTACTACATTCTTAAAAGGAAATGAAATGCTTTAAGTGAACAGAAAGCTTCTATCCTACAAATCAGTGTTGGATTCACATCAATGTTGGATTATATACATTTCTTAACAACAACAATAACAAAAAATACTAATTCTATTATTAACTTAACCAGAGATCACAATAACTTCTCTACTTCCTTCACTTTTCTCTGCACAATAACATCATATGATTTATTTTTCTCCTTGGCCAATGTCTGAAATTTAAGAATGAACCATAGCATTTGCCTTGTTTCATAGGATACACAAGAGAGAAGAATAAAAGGAACTCGTCACAGCCTGAGTGACACATGTTTGAATGAGGCACAGAGGCACAGCACTGCTGTAGTGGTGACTCAACTTCATGGTAAAGGCTTTATGCATCAAAGTTCCTATTCATAGACAGGCCCCCCCAACACCTACACACACACACACTCACACACACACAGAGTCAGGTATAACATTTTGAAAAGAAAGGAGGATAGAAAAGTAGCTTATTATATATATATGCCTTTTCATTTGAATCCATCTGCCATTTGCACAATGGAAAGATAATCAAGAGAGGGTCTCTCTTCTTCTCATCCTTGTTTTTCTTTCTTCGTTTACCTTAACCCTTCATCAAAATATCAGTAATCTTATTTGCTTTGTAACTTACCTTCAGACTTAAAATCAGTTCTACAGCTGGTGGCCAGAAATATCAGGAAATATCTATCTTATTAAGTTTAAATTTATCAAAAGACAAAGGTATTTTTGAAGAGGAGATAAGGTTTTTTTTTTCTATTTTTTAGAGACATTTAACTTTCAGTTTGGAGGAAAGTCAGAAAAAGAACCTAATACTTTCTTATTTTTAATTATACTGTGAACAAAGGGTTGGACAATTTTCTAGAAGTTACTTGCAAATCAAAGAATATTTATAATTTCTTATTTTTAATTATACTGTGAACAAAGGGTTGGACAATTTTCTAGAAGTTACTTGCAAATCAAAGAACATTTATAATTTCCCTTATTAAGGAATTAGTTTATTCATTCATTTTCATTCAAAAGGCTACCTACTTTGAGTGTCTTCTCATTCCTTAAACATAACATTTATTTCCTACTGCTTTTATGCTAAATAAACTTTACTTCATTTTGCAGTGATTATTAAAAATGGTATTTACAGAATTTTATTACCTATAATACACTTTATTTTTTTCACCAACTAATCAAATATTTTTCATCCTCTACCCAATACTTTAATTTCTATGCATAATCTCCCTTGTATAAGGAAATACTATGTGTATCAGTTTTGAAAACTTGTTTACATATTTTAAATTGAGCACATGAATAGCTCACATAGATTCAATTTATTCTAATACTTAAAGCACACATATAACCACGTAGGTGAAGTTGAATATTTATATTTCAATTCCTTTCATTTATTGACTCTGAAAATCTAAAATGAGTTGAAATGAAACAGAGGATCACATACTGTGAAATTCAACTCTCTTTCTGACATGTGGCCCAATTAACTCATGAAAGGTTTTGCATTGCAGTTATACTTTTGAAATATAGGGATGAATGACTTTATAATTTTTTAAACTGTTACATACTGGAAAACTTTAATAAAATGGCTTATAATCAGATCTTAATGTCTTATTACATGCTATCCTCAAACTTTGTCCTTCTGATGTTACAAAAAGGCTAACGATACAATTCATCCATGTAGCCGAAAACCATTTGTACCCCCTAAAGCTATTACAATTTAAAATATTTTTTAAAATACTGAAAAAGTGCTGGGAGACAGGGCTGGGGGAATGGGAATGAGGGTGGGGAGGATGGGGTTGGAAGGATGTAGAGGAGAACCTGCCAACCATTGAAAGATTCAATGCCTCTTTCAATGATAAGGCAAAATAAAGACATTTTCAGATAAAAGTAAATTAAGGAAAAAAGAAAAAGAAAAAGATAACTTCTTCCCCCATACGATTCTTGTATTTCACATTTATCTTGTGTTTCAGATTTTCACAAATATAAGAGGACATCAACTGTAGCTAAGTAAGTTCAATAAGAATTTACTGGATTTTGCCTATGCCAGTTTACTTCAGGGAAAACAGTCACATTAAAAATTTAAATTGCTTTGTTTGTGCAGATGTGGCATCCAAGGTCATAGTGATGACGAGACAGTGGCTCTCCTTTGTTTAACTTATTTATTTGAACTTCTTTTGGGTAGTGATGATCTCCCCACTCTCAGTGTGAACGTGAAAGGCAGTGGGCTGGAGCTAGAGACTAAGAACAAACTACCTGGCCCACAAAAGCTCCTGACCTCATAGCTCAATGTTCAAGCTAATATGTTGTATATGTCAATGACAATGGGGAATACTGAGGGACCAAGTACTAATTAGCAATAAATTAAATATATGCAATTGATGAGATATATTGAAACATACAGAATTACCTGTTTCATATTTTTTCCAGAAAGCAAGATAAATTATTTCATTTTATTTAAAAAGACATGACTATTTTCTACATAATTAAGACATACAAAGGGACTATTTTTCCCTCTCATGGAAGGAATCCCTCTTTGAAAGTGTTTACATGAAATTTTCAGGAATGCAGACTGCACTGTGGTACAAAATAACCTACTTTTGTCAGAAGAGAAATTATGATGTCTATTTCTGGGAGCAGCGCCACCTAAAAATAGCTTGTCTAGTCACCTTATAGTGCATTCTTTCATGTCATAGATAGAAGTTCAGAGCAGAGTCTGTGTTTATGTGCTTTCATTACTTAATGTCCAAACAACTCTTTTTTTTTTTTTGGCAAGTCTAATCTTTTTAAAGAATATAAACAATCATACTCTACTGATCAGCTATCTAATATTTCTCTCTGCTCCTCCCACAGTAATTCACTCTAGTCTGGTCACTTGCTTTGGTGTCCTGTGACAACATGTGGCCTTTTATGTTGTAACCCTTGCCTGGAATGGCCTTTTCTCAGAATGGCCTTTCCCCATCTGTTCATTTAAATCCCAACCTATTCTCCACTGCCTGGCTTCAGTTCTGTATATCTTCCCAGGCCTTCTTCTATTCCATCAATTTCAAATGACCTCTCTCCTGATGAAATACTAAGAACATTTCTGCATAATTTTTAATTTAACACAATAGCATAATATTTTGTTTGCTACTTTTCCAATATGTTAATCTTATCTTCTTTCTTAGGAGGGGGCAGAAATTCCTTGAGGGCAGGAATCATGTCAGATATTTTTATATCCCACAAATATTTTGGATGTTTTAAAACAGATGATTTTTGCCTAATATGATGTACCCATTATTAAGCTTCTAGTTAAAAAATCAGTAATTCTGGGCAATAACAACAGCTCTTTCAATGACTAAGTGGCCTTAAACCACATATATACATTATTCTTGTCTTCTTTCCTGTAAAATGTGGATCATGTCTCATGTTCTCCTCACAGAGTAGCTATAAGGGCAAAATTATACAATGAACATGAAAGTAATTTGAAGATTATAAAGTAGGGTTCAAATGAAAGGTTATTTTATTAAAGAAATAATATTTCTTGGATTAAAGAAATAATATTTATGTCATAGAAAACAAAAAAGGCAAGTATGACCTAAATGTCAACTTTTGTAAGAGCTGTTTTATCACCAATTATTTTAAGCTTTGGAAAGACATGCCCAGTGCATTCTAGATTTATAGTGATTATTCTAAAATCATATGCAGGTTTAGAGGAGAAACTATTAACATTTTATCTTGTGGTAGGATACTAACTTCAACTACTTGTAAGAAAAAATAGGCATTTCAATTGATTGCTAATATATAAAATTTCTGTAATTTCACAAGATGGGTTAGAAAGTAACATATTTGTTTTCATTCATGTAATCTAAATTTTATTATAATTATCAATGTACAAAAGAAATTTATTCTACAATAATGAGATGAAGTAATGCTTATCTTACTTTATTTGCATATACCAAAGTAGAGATAAGCTTTACTACTTGTAATTTCTGCATTGAAACTGTCATGTGGTTATTTTAGCAGTTGCAGTATATTGTTACTACACCTACTGATGCTCAATTAGTGTTTATTAGATGGGATTTTCATTAGTTCTCTGAAGAACTTATTTTCTGAGAAATGAGTGCTATTTATTAGAGTTAATAATTTTTGTCCGTTTTTATTCTTTTGAAGAATAAACATAACATGAGAATTACATATTTAATAATAAACCACAGAGTACTACTAAAGAAGAGGCTGTGTTAAAATGAAGCAAACTTTCAGTTTCAACCAGTATTGAGTCCTTACTCACTTTAGTCACAGAGGATGCAAGGCCTTAGGGCAGCAGGGTTTCCCCAGGTGTCCGATGTAGCATAAATCACCGTGGGTACACATGGCAATACTGCCCAAAGATCTCCATAGCTATTCTGTTTCATTGCTGTGCGGCTTGGCAGTAGGAAGCTCTTGAAATGTTTTCATCTTACATGGGGTTTCCCTTTGGAGTTAAGTTGCTCACCTTTCGCAATAAGACCCTGCTGACTGAGCAATGGGTTTATCACCTAACTTCTTGCTTAATCACCTCTTAGTTTCTATTTTTTTTTCAATTGGTTTACATAGCACTCCAAGCCTGCTTGCTTGTTTTTATAGTGCCAAGGCAGCTGGCAAAAATGCTGTGAGAGTGGTATGGATGTCATGAACAGACACACCCTGTGAAATACACCTCCTTGTCTTAGCATAAATTGGTTCTCGCGACTACCACATTTTCTTTTCCTGGGCAATCCAGTTATGTGGTTTAGAAACTGAACTGCAGCAGAGAAGGAATGAGAGGTAACTTTTGTATTCAACTTGCCAAGAGCCAGGTCTTTATTATGCCCAACTGAGGTGCCATGGGTTAAGAAGGCTGGAGAGGAACTAGGTATGATTCAGCAGTTTGCACTGAAAATGATTTCCCATTGAGAGGTTAAGAGGTGGGGCTTCACAATTTAGAAGTGAAATGGATGAATAAAAGCAGGCTACTTCAGGGGCACACAGGTTCAGCATAAGGGATATTGAAAATTGTTTCCCATCTCCTCTCATGACAGATCAGAAAGTTAAGAGCTTAGTGGTCTGGAGAAATTTAATAGAGGTTATCACTGAAGGTCATTTGAAGACCTCTGGCTCTTACTTATATTGGAATAATGGTTGCACTCTCAGGCCTTGGCCTAGCAATGGAAAAGAAAAGAGTAAAATACTTTCATTCCCTTCCTTTTCTATGCTTATAGCTGGAAGTGATAAATAAAAAGAACTATCATTAGCATGCTTTAATAATAATAGCAACAATAACAACATTAACACCATTTACTGACCTATGATGTGTGAGACACTATTTTGAGGGCTTTAACTCGTTTAATCTTCACAACCTTGTGAGGTACATATCCTATTATTATCATCATTTCAGAGACAAGAAAAGCAAGGCTCAGAAAGTTTTAAGTAAATGACTAAGCATACACAATGGGTAATATCTGAATCCAGAAAGCCTAATTCTAGAGCTCTAGCTTCTAGCTACCATGTTACACTGTCGGATTTTTTTTCTCTGCAGGTATTTTGCCATTAAACTAGGAGCAGAAAAGGATTTAGAGAAAGGGGAGCCTCTGAGGATATAACAAAAAGAGAGGCACACAGCAGACAATTACTACATCTATTCTAGATTTAGTTCTAATTCAGGTTCTTGAATTCCAGAAGAATTTTTTTAAAGCAAAGGTGTACATATAACAATGAAGTAACACTTGTTTGATTTGGGGGTGGTTGTTGATGGTGGTGGTAAGAATCCAAATATTTTTAAAACCCAGAATGGCAGAAAAAGCTTCTAGTTAAAAAATCAGTAATTCTGGGCAATAACAACAGCTCTTTCAATGACTAAGTGGCCTTAAACCACATAAATACATTATTCTTGTCTTCTTTCCTGTAAAATGTGGATCATGTCTCATGTTCTCCTCACAGAGTAGCTATAAGGGCAAAATTATACAATGAACATGAAAGTAATTTGAAGATTATAAAGTAGGGTTCAAATGAAAGGTTATTTTATTAAAGAAATAATATTTATTAATAAACATTTGTTTCTTCAATAGTTTCATTTTACTAAGTATGTTCC
This sequence comes from Homo sapiens, assembly GCF_000001405.40. Classification (NCBI taxonomy): domain Eukaryota; kingdom Metazoa; phylum Chordata; class Mammalia; order Primates; family Hominidae; genus Homo; species Homo sapiens. The sequence goes on along the minus strand of NC_000010.11, from coordinate 52,255,803 downwards.
ATAATGCATCAGGTTACTTATGTTGATGCCTTAACTCTCCCTCTGCCTCAGAAATGCTATCTCCTGCAAGACGTCTTGTTCCTCCACACACTGAACCCCTGCTGATCATGCTTTGCTTATGAGTTTATTAGTTTACATGATTGCCCCTCCCAGTAGACTGTGAGTCTCTAGAGCTAAGAACTATTCTATTTATTAAATTTTTTATCTTCAATCATAGAGCTCACTACATATATACATAATAACTGATGCAGAAAGAATATAATCCAAAAAGACAGAGGTTATGTTTATCTTATATTTGTTCCTGTGCTTTATCCAAGTTTGCCGCTCTGGTATAGGAGATATGTGGATTGCTAAATAAACAGATTAAATATCTAATATTTAAAGCACCGACTACATATTATTGGCATATTAAAAAATCAGTTTGTCTTTGAGTCATACAAATCTATTCTGAAAAGCAGGTGCCTTTCTCGCAGGGACAAAAGTAGAGTAAATTGGGAATATGACTATAAGGCAATGGGACTAATTTTCACTTGTAATTTGTAAAACAACCTCCTTATTTTACAGTTATACTTTGTAAATGAAGACGATTACCTAGATGACTTACAGCAGTGCTTAGAGCTTTAATTAATAAGTCATATATAAAAAGAGAGCTGAGTTCTTTTGCTGAAAGTGATACTATAAATGGAATGTGTTCTCCTGGAAGACATACTGTAAACAGACAGTAACTGAACACATTAGAAAGACCATTCTTAAAAATAAAGAACATAGGCAGAAAATATGGCACATGCCAGAAAACAGAAAGGAAAGCAGTCCAAATGACTGCCCAGAGGAAATGGTTGTGAACAGGATACTGTCTGATATTAAACAAGTGAATGTCAGTTATGCTGAGAGTATTTAGGAAGAGACTGAATAGCTTAAGACTACAATTCCTATGCCTAAAAGATCTTCACTTTAAGCTTCTGGACTCTTTACTGAACACATTTAAGTTTCTTATTATGTGGCAAAATTATGTACTCACGTCCAAAAATTGATAATAAACTATTTATAAATTCTCCTGTAGAAAAATACTTCTGCATCTACATTTATCTAAATTGACATGAATGATAAAAATTAAGAAATGCTAAAAAGTCTGTGAAGGGTGTAACTACCTTCACACACAAACACAATCTGTATGTCAAACAGTGATGAGAAAACTACATTCTTAACTTCACTCTAACAGGAAATGAAGTTCAAAAATTCAAATTTCTAAATTCTTTATACTCCACTGGAGGGTTTATAATTTTATAATCTTATTTCTGGGAAATTTTTTAAAATACTATTTTAAAATTAAAGTGTAACTTATGGTATTATCTTGAAATGTCATTTACCTGCTCAACATTACTGCTAAACTAAGACACTAAGTATTATATACTTTGTATTAACATGTTGAGCACTGTGTACATAAATATGAAATTAGCTTATATGAAGATTTATTGCTTAGATATTGCTTCAATAGCACTTTATAATATTGACAAGATTATCTTGCATGCGTCATTCTCAGAGGAGAGTAAAACTTCTGTAATCACAAAAGAACTGGTCTCTGCCTACATCTTACTCCTAACTCTGATGGTACACTGTTACCCTTATGGTGATTGATTATATTCCGTGACAATGTTATGTACAATTATGGGCAAAGTGATGAGGCCAAACTCCCAATTCCAGCATCATTGAATGTATGTAAAAGATGAACAATCACAGATAATATTTTAATACCCCAAAAGTAATATTATCAGGCAATTAGTAAGTGGCAAGAATTGGGAAAATAAGGTATTAGTGATCACTTAAGTGGCTGGTCCACATTGAATACTGAAGACAATATAGGCATTCTGATTGTCTACAGTGTGTTGTGGATGTACAAGACAACAAAAGCTGATGTGGCCGTAAAAGGTTAAGGACGTGCACTCCGTCCCGATGTAGAAGTTGTACCCAATGATCCATTTTGAATTTATCACTCAGCAGTAATATCTACAGTTTTTGCAAAGTGGGCTATAGTTCCAATCTCAATTAATTCTTAGGACTATGGTGTTCATTATATATAAACATCTGTCTAAAAGAGTAAAATATAATATCCATGAGAGGAAAATTAGGCTATCTGGTATTTCTCTGGGGATGGAGATTATATGTACATATATATGTATATATATGATATATATACTCAAACATGCACATGAATACACAGAAATGAGCATACACATGTGTGCACACACACGAGAGCACACATGCAAATTTTTGTTTTTAAACTAACTTTTATATGCCCACATTAAATTCTTCCCAATTTTGAGGCTAATCAAAATTTTGTTTGTACCTCCTCATTTGCTTTTCAGAGGATCTTCTAGAAGATTTGCACTATCAGCTTGGTATTCAGTTCTCTAGCTTGAAATGATTTCAGTGCCTGTAAGTTATTTTCAGTATTTCAAAAATCTTAAGTAAATTCCTATATTTCATGTAATATCTCACTGGTAACTTCAAAGATCACCATTTAAGTTATCAAACTTCTAAGAGTTCACAAAGTTGTAACACTGATTTTTTTTTTGTCAACAAAAATAGTAGTTTTATTGTCCTTCGTCTTTAAAAAATAATATTTAAGGACCTATAACAGTCCTACAATCACTCTCTGAGAAATTCTGTCCCTTATACTGCTTCATTTGGAGACTGTTTTAGAAATACGCAACTATATAAACACACCAGAAAATAAATCCTGTATGGCAGGGAGCTCTGTCCTCTTTCCTGCCTGTATGTCCCAACACCTCCAAATCAAAGCAGTTCATGTATAATGCTGTTAATGAATCTTTATTAGCTATACAGACAATTATGATTTGCCACAAAACCAAAGTTCTTAAAAAATAAATCCATGGCTACATTAATTGGTAGGGTTCAGAAAAGCAAGAGGTTTGTCTAGAACCTTACTTTTTTTTTTTTTTCTCCCAGAACTGAAAATACTCATATTGTCAAAGGCACACTATGGACTTTCAAGTCACAGGTGATATTACTACAGTATCTCCAACCAGTGTTAAGGGAAGCATAATACCAATTCAGTGAGGCATATGGCTCTAAAACCTTCTCATCTAATATTTAAGTAAATAACATCTTTCTACCTGTTCAAGTCAGAAATTCCAACTGCAATACAAATAGACAAATATAAAAATAGTACTGGGTCAATGTACTTTTAAGGAAGGGGATTTCTCCTGACCCCTGATGGCAACGGTAACTGTTTACTGCACTGTACACAGTCTCAGGGAGTTCCTCACATACTGTACTGGTGTCTGATATCAGGAACTCCTCTATGTTCAGCAGAGAGGTGGAAATCAATCTGCATTCTCAATTAGGGTTTATAGCCACACCGTCTTGAAATGCAGTTAGTCATAAGAGTACATTTTTTTCTAATTCTTGTGACACTATGTCAGTTTTAAAATTTATATTTCAAATAAATGCAAAGTAGAGTACGTTTTCATATTGTTTACACCACATTCATGCAATGTATTTAATGTATGAACTTGTACAAAGTGTCATCATCATCTTCATGAATATATAGATGTATGTATATGTGTATACATATGTATACAGACAGTGTGTGTGAAATAAACTATATAAAATATTCAAACTGTTAGGACTAGAAATAGGTACTTGCAACTACAGAATCACAGAATTGCTACTACAACACCATTTACTTCATATATATCTCTTCGATTTCCCTTTATATGTATTTATATTTACATTTAAATTATTGTAATTGTTGTTAGGGTGCATAATTGTTAGTAAGCACCACTCAGAACTAAGGAAATAAAGATTATAGAAAATTAGTTGGGTAAGAAGTTCTTAATGACTCTTCTTTAAGTAAATGTGTTTACCTTACACTTAATATGAAGAGGTTTTCTAAAAAGCAAGGTGTTATTTTATTTTTAGTCGTTGACTGCATAATTTAGCCCACTTTGTGTCTAATTATGACATGTCTGCCGCAAAGTATTTGGAACTGATTTAGGAATCATGGTAATTAATGATGAAAGACAAAACAAGAGAAAAGAAAGAAATCTTAATCTAGGGGAAAAAATTAAAAAGGAAGCAGAGGCGATCAAAAGCATTTAAAGAACAATCACCTACCAGTTCTACTCGTCCGAAACCTCCAACTCCAAGGGTATCAATGATGTTGAAATCAGACAGCTTCAGGTTGGCGAAGAAAGCCGCTTCAGCTTCATATCTGGATTTTTTGATGTGAAAAAATGGAAATTTCTTAGAGGTGCAAACACGAGTACCACGTACATCTGTACCAGAATGACATGACTGTGGAACAGGGTTTACCTGCTTACATTCCATCTTGCTTTTAGAGTTTGTGTTTTCTCACACTCATAATTTTTTGGTCCCAGTTGTGCAGAATAACATAAATTTGCACTTGTGTTTCAAAGTACGGTAGAAAAATGCAAAGTACCCACTGCATGCCAGTCAAGTGACTGATAAATCCAGTTATCAAATCAAAGTTACATGGTGGTCTTTTTCTACGCGTCTTCTTGTGAACACGGATTGTTTGAGTTGTTCTTTTTTGGTTTTGTTTTAGATTTTTTGGTTTTGCTTGGTTTTGTTTTTGCCGTTCAGATTTCGGATGGCAGTTTCTCATCAGTTTCCCTTATCCACAGGCTGGCAGTGCCTCCTATAAATATTTATTAAAAGCGGCAAGATCACGGAGGTCTCTGGAGCGAAATCACAGCCAGGTTTTATGAAAACAGATCCGAGAAGCTGAGAACTGATGTACAAATGTCCGAAATGGATGATTTCGGAAGCATAGTCACATTCCTAAAAAGTGTCTTCCCTTCATTTTTGTGTACCCACTGACTTGTAGCCAATACTCTCAGCTAGCAATCTCAGTGTCTTTATGTTTGCAAGTTTCTTATATGAGTGGTGTGGAGAAGCATGGACTGCTATTCCAAAAGTCTAACTATGCACACATGCAAACCTGACGCATGCAAGTGGCCAAAATAAGCTTCTCCTGATGAGACAAGTGAATATGAGCTGCTTAAAATATATCCTTGTCAAAGGCCCTGCTATTTTTAGAAAGGACAGGAAGGCATAAAGATGAAGATGATCTGCCCACTCACTAACGTCAGGTCAGGGAGTAATTCAGCTGTCTCAAAAATAAAGTATTTCAATAGCTATGCATAACCCGTGACCTTCAGCTCAGCAACACCTGATTCAGTATTACACTATAGATAGAAATGATGAATGCACTTGAGGTAATGATACTAACACAGCCTATTTATGTATACTTTTGCATAGAATCAGCCATGGGTATGTTTAACATTAAGCTGTGTAACACATTAGCTATTCCATTACCATCAAACACAAATTTAGACTCTCCACTTGGGGGATTTGTGAAACAGCTTTCTAGGTAAGCTTTCTGCATTCTTCAATTTACAATCACATTTCTAGTTTTTTAACAAGTCAATTGTTGACAGGCTTCTCAGACGGTAAAAACAACATTGTTTTCCATTATTGGCTAATTATGTGAAATCAACTCCCTCCAATAAACTTTTACAAACAAGGCTGCTAGTCCATCCTAATGGTGTTTGTAGACATCTGTCATTAACTACACACTCAAGAGATCAACATAGTGATCCGGGAGATGGTTTACTAGAATGGAACAGAAGCAGCAAATGTGCATTTCTAGCATTCCAGCTGGCTTGCTACTTTTGGAAAATTAAAACTCCATCCCATTGAAAGGGCTAGCGGCAAAGTTGACTCCAACAGGTGCTGAAAAAAGACATCTGTTGAGATCAGACCCTGTGACTGTATGTGGTCAAGCATTTCCTGGCCGCCTGGATAATTAAATCCTTAATGAGATCGTTGTTGAATAATAATCCACGTGTTTGTTGGATTTAGAAATCTCAGGTGCAAACAGGGTGAAACTTGTTTTTTTGGTTTTTTGTTTTTTGCTTTTTGTTTTTTTTAGACAGAGTCTTGCTGTGTCACCCAGGCTGAGGCTAGAGTGCAGCGGTGCAATCTTGGCTCACTGCAACCTCCACTTCCCAGGTTTCAAGCTATTCTCGTGCCTCAGCCTCCCAAGTAGCTGGGATTACACGTGTGCGTCACTACGCCCAGCTAACAAACAGGGTGAACTCTTTCAGACTATTTTGATACCATTTCATATATTCAAAGTATGGTGTTATTATTTGTAATCCTTGAAAGCACCCCCAAAATTCTCATTTTGGGGCCTTGTGAAGTTAGGCTGGAAGTACACATAGATTAGTGGAGGGATTCTAGCCTTTTGTTGCACATTACAGCTACCTGAGCATCTTTTAAAAACAATTAATTTAAGCCTTGCCACAGACCAAGTGAATGAGAAATTTCTGGAGGTGCTACCTAGACATCCCTACTTTTAAAAAGCTCCCAGGTGATTTTGATGCACAGTAAGAGTTAAAACCTATAGTTCTATATCTTCTGAAAGCCTCAGGAAGTTCCATAAGTCACACAAGATTTTTGGGGTGGATTAAAATGGCCCAGGAGATAAGTAGCTATCCAGTGAGTCTGAGGATGAGACATTTTGGCAAGAAGGTTGGGGGCTTTTTTACATTGGTCTTGGGCCCTGCTCTTCTGGTCCTAGAGCAATAGGAATAAACAATAGTTCTGAAATAGCCAACACAGCTTAGAAAAGACAGAGAAAGAGAAAGAAAGAGAGGAAGGAAGGGAAGGGAAGGAGAGGGAAGGGGAGGGAAGGGGAGGGAAGGGGAGGGAAGGGGAGGGAAGGGGAGGGAAGGGGAGGGAAGGAGGCGGGGGGAGAAGGGGGAAGCGTGGGGAAGGGGGAAGGGGGAAGGAAAGGGAGAAAAAAAGGAAAGGAAAGGAAAAGAAGGAAAAGAAAAGAAAGGAAAGAAAAGAGAAAGGAAAGGAAGGAAAAGAAGAGAAAGGCAACATTGCTAACAAAAGGCAGATACAGGGCGCAAAAGTTATAAGGCAGTTACTTTATGTTTGCATATCTACAGCAAAGACCTCTCGACTTTGTTTATAGCTATTACCTGACTAATTACTGATAGTATTTAATTAATAGGATGAGTATATTAAGTTTCATCTTAAATGGTAGAAATTTTCTCTTTAACCATCAAAATCCACTTAAATATATACTTCCCTATATACGGGAAGTACCAATTATAGTTAAAATATTTCACGTTTTGATGCAAAGATATTGGTAATGTTGTAATCACGCTTTGCTAGTCTTTGCTAATTACTTTGCTAACATTACTAGGTGAATTTTTAAAACACTACCTAGTTGTGTGATTTTATCTTATTGGTAAGATACATTTTGAAGCGGTCTTTGAATAGTCGTCCTCTTGATCCTCCATTCTGTTTGTACTTGTTTCAGGTCCTGATTTTTGGGAAAGTCAAATAATATAGAAAAGTAACCATAACTGTTTATCTTTTCCACTCAAGAAATCTTAGTTTGCTTAATATTTTATATGCATTTATTTTTCTTGTTGGATTATGTTGGGAGCAAGCCCCCCAAAATCTGGCCATAAACTGGCCCGAAGACTGGCCATAAACAAAATCTCTGCAGCACTGTAACATGTTCATAATGGCCCTAATGCCCGCACTGGAAGGTTGTGGGTTTACAGGAATGAGGGCCAGGAACACCTGGCCCGCCCAGGGCGGAAAACCACTCAAAGGCATTCTTAAGCCACAAACAATAGCATGAGCGATTTATGCCTTAAAGGCATGTTCCTGCTGCATTTAACTAGCCCAACGTATTTCTTTAATTTGGCCCATCCCTTCGTTTCCCATAAGGGATACTTTTAGTTAATTTAATATCTATATAAACAATGCTAATGACTGGTTTGCTGTTAATAAATATGTGGGTAAATCTCTGTTCGGGGCTCTCAGCTCTGAAAGCTGTGAGACCCATGATTTCCCACTTCACACCTCTATATTTCTGTGTGTGCGTCTTTAATTCCTCTAGCACCGCTGGGTTAGGGTCTCCCCGACCGAGCTGGTCTCGGCAGATTATTTTTAGAGACAAGAGTCACATTTTCACAGAGACTCTGCACACACTTTCACTTTTTGAATTAATAGTTGTTTTAACATGAAAATCACTGCATAATGAACCTATATAAAGGGGCTAAACTGTGGATGTTTTAGATTTTTCGGATATTTAACTGTTTCTTGCCATAACTGGGAGGGACATTTTCATTCTTTTTCTTTACTTGAGAATTATTTGAAGATAATTTGAATTAATTAATTATGTTCTGTTTTCTTTAGAATTGATAAAAGTTTAAGTGAGGAAGATGGCTAAATAAATGGTTAAGTAAATACCTGTTATTTTATTAAACAACCTTCTTTTGCCTGAGGAGATAAATGTGCAACCCAAGTTCCTATCTAACTTATTACTGTGGGATACTGGGTCTGAGGAATTAGGCCCAGTTTCATGCAATTTTAAAATCCATTTGTGCAACAGTGTTTAGGGGAGGACAGTTGTCAAATGCTAGCAGAAATACTTTTAGTAAGAAATGCAGTTTCTGGTATTTGGTTGCTTAAAATATAAAATAGTATATAACACATTTTCTAATCATTTTTAATTTAGTTTGAGACAATGATTTTTTAAAAAAATTATTATTGTTATTATTATTTTAGTATAGGGCAAAAGCTGTGAATTCTCTTCCCAGAAAAGTGCAAACACTGACATGCCTTCTGTGCTTATACCTATAGGGAGCTTATAAAGCCATAAAGTAGGTTAACAACACACAATACAAATATACAACAAGATAAGTATGTTGTGTGAAGAAGGCAGAAGTAATACATCATTTCTCAAATCAAATATGTCTGATTATAAGATTCATCTGGGGCTATGGTGATTAGAAACCACAGACAATAGCTAATCCTTATAGGCGACTCTTTTTTTTTTTTTTTTTTTTTTTGAGACTGTGTTTCACTCTTGTTGCCCAGGCTGGAGTGCAATGGCATGATCTCGGCTCACTGCAACCTCTGCCTCCAGGATTCAAGTGATTCTCCTGCCTCAGCCTCCTGAGTAGCTGGGATTATAGGCATGCACCACCACGCATGGCTCATTTTGTATTTTTAGTAGAGATGGGGTTTCACCATGTTGGTCAGGCTGGTCTTGAACTCCCGACCTCAGGTGATCCGCCTGCCTCGGCCTCCCAAAGTGCTGGGATTACAGGCATGAGCCACCACAACTGGCCTATAGGGGACTCTTTAAATAATGAAATATTGAACTTTTAAGAACTAAGGAGTAACAAAGTTGATTTGATTTTCACCTTTTCATTTCTGTTTATTCACCAAAGGAGGCTCTAAAAACAATAAAAATGTAAAGTTACAAGTATAAAAATGAGACCAAGATACATATGCATGGTTTAGAAACAAGAAAACAATAATAGAATAATCTCAGTCTCTTCCTCCCCTTCCCCATCTCTCTTTCTAAAATCACGTATCTGCACAGTATCATATTCACATTTCTTTGGAAAATAGATAATAGTCATTAGTTATTATATTTCCATTTCTTCCAATATTACCAGTCTCTACAAAACCAAGGAATAAGAATCAAGTGTCCCTTATTATTCACAATTGTTTTCCATTCTTGATGTAATACCCTTGAATCAATTCTGTCATTTTAAATTAACAGAGTCAGATGCTACACCTTATGACTGACCATTATTATTAAGAACTAAACATCTCTCCCTATGTATTGGAAACCAAATATAATGTTTCAACCCAGGACAAAATTTGTGAAACTCAGAATTTTACTTTCACCTTGCCATTCCAATAACAGAAGTAACTCAGCATTATTTTACAAAGCAGACAATATTATGTACCATTTAAAAGTAAAGTCCACATGCAAAAGGAACATAACTATAGTTCCAGATGGGTAATTCAGAGCCAACAGAACAAAAGGCAAATATAGCCCTATTAGTTTTAGCCCAGGTCATCCATAATCCAAATGAGCTACAGAAGTCTACTCTAAGTGCCTCCAACAAATAAATAAATAAATAAATAAATAAATAAATAAATAAATAAATAAATAAATAAAATGGTGTTAACATCTACCAATCCACATGCAAATCAGTTAGCCTGGCTTTGCCTGGACTCATCTGCTCTTCAGTATACTTTCATTTCCTCTTGAGTTTAGATCGATCAATTCTTGGGGAAAACTACGAAAATAAAATGTTTTAGTAAACACACATGAACTGTCATGTATGACTGAGTTTATTTCTTATTCCATAACTGTAGTAGGTAAGATGAGATTCAGTAAGAACATCAAGGTCTACCCTGGATTTTAAAATGCTACAAGAGAGCATCCTGGCTTATCAAAAGCTCATCACTTGTGTTCCTGGTTCTGCTAGTGACTTTGTCCTTCCAACTCTGATTTCTTCAATGTCTTAGCCTTTCTGGGAATACTGATAAATATACACTTAAGTAATAAGTATAAATTTAGTGGAAAAATCAATTCAGAATCCCAGCTTACTTAAATGTTCAGATAAATGCCCAGAAATCCTCTTTCATTTTTTATGTAACCAAAGAGCACTGCAATCTGTAAATAATTATCTACAGAAACAGTTTGAAAAAGGAGTAAGAACATTGAGAAAGTGAGCCTTAAGCCCAAAATATATAGATCTGGTCTATGATATATCCAAAATATAATGCTGGCCATGTACTGAATGAACATTTGGTACACAGGATTTTATGTGATAATTGTTCCTGATTTAATAAAGCTTAGTGTATTGACTAATCTGCAAGTCTGGAAAAGTAAATAAAAAGTATTCTTTTAAATTTTTTTATATATTTTATTTTTTTATATTTTTAATATTTTTAATATTTTTAAATATATTTTAAATATATATTTAAAGTATATTTAAATATATATATATTTTAAAAAGTTTATTAAAAAAGTATTATTTAAATATTTTATAATATTTAAATATATAAAAATATTTAAATATATATTAAAGTATATTTAAATATATTTAAATATATCTAAATATATATTTAAATATATATTAAGGTATATATTTAAATATATCTTAATATATATTTAAATATATATTAAAGTATATATTTTTAAAGTATTATTTATTAATTATTAATATATTATTTAATATATAATAATAAATATTTTATTTACTTCTGTCAGAAGAATACCTATATATAGAGAAAGTAGCATTGAAAACTGAACCAATAAAAGATATTTTCACGTTTAAAAAGGAAGATGTGATTTGGGCTTAAACTACAGGGACTGTTGCCTCATTGCAACTTTTTGTGTACGTGGAAAATGTTAGGAGATACATGTCCTTATTCCCTCGATTTTCAAATGCTTGAAATTAAATAAGCTTAGACACTAAAATAAAAATGGGTAGATTCTATAATCAAGTCATCAATCATCTCTTATTAATTTAATTGCTATACAAAGAGTCTTATTGATAACTAAGCTTTGAAGGCAGAATCTTTTGACTTCATTGGAAATCAAAAAGAACCATCTTAGCGTTTCTTTGTATGGGGAGTTATTTTCTGCTAAATCATGTTTTCAAATTAAAAAATTTTCTAAAGTACCTATTACTATAAAGTTTTAAAAAATCTCTTTAAACAAGAAGACTTCTAAAATTCTAAGCAAAAAGGGCCAATTTCTAATGTATTCTTGTTGTACAGCATCTAGGTGTAATCACCATCCTTTTAGCAGTGGAAGGAATAACTTAAAGAAATAGAAAGTGTAAAAGTAATTTAATGAATCTGAAGTATTTCATTATATCAATTTACTCTGGAAAATATAATCTCTTCTTCAGGGAATTTGAGATAACGTTAGTTTGCTCCTGCTATTTCCAAAATTGTGGTTTTCAGAAATAGACTTTTCTTTGAGCACTCTAGTCATGAAATAGTTCCACTTATTTTTCAAATACATTTTCTTGAGGAGCTATAGCCAACGGGAATATACAGGAAAATTGCATTTCGTATATCTGCTGCATAATAAGAATGATAGTAATGCAAATATTCTGTATTTAGAAAGCACCTTTCTTCTACGACTTTAAAATCTCTCTTATTTAATTTATCCTGGCTGATTCTTTGTGAAGATAAGATAACAAATACTTTTACTTCTATTTTGCACCTGGGTAAACCAGCTGCTGATAAGTGATTGGTTTCAATAATTAAACACCGGAAAAATTAGGACCTTGGGCATGTTTCACATCATAGCATATTTATGCTTATTCCACATAAATAATTTTCCTTTTAAACATGACAGCAGAGAGTCACCATTTTAAAGATGTTTTTATCTCAAAATCTTAAAATGCCAACACACTTCAAAACAGTGGACCTCATCTAGTTTAACCTCCACATTGCTTTTTTTTAAATAAAGGAACTAATCTGGAGATGTTAAATGACTTTAGCTAAGGTCATAAAGACCTAGGCATAGAAGACTGCCATTCTGACTTCTGGGCTATAATAATTTTTACTATCTGATTCTATCTGCAGTTTTTGTAATGTCCTTATATTTGAAAAACAAAGGCAAATGTAAAAGTTATAAAATATATTTGAGTAATATGTTCTTTTACTACACATTTCAGTCTAGAACAATTTTGGCCTCCCTACAGCTAAGCACTTACGTGTTCTTGCCTACAACGTGGTTCCTGCCTGTGTGTGTTCCAATAAAATTAAAGGCCAAAAATGAAAGTCCACAGGTACTCAAAAGAGATGTTTTAAAAATTCAAATATCAGAGCAGCATTTGTAAAAGATGAATGAGAATATACTACCCATTGTCAGCTTTAAATGTATTGGCAAATATTCATTTTAAATAATTAATCTTGAAATTTTTTTACAGTTTGAAATAAATTTTTCTTTTCTTTTTTCTTCTTCTTTCTTCTTCTTCTCTTTCTCCTTCTCCTTCTTTTTTTTTGAGACTGAGTCTCCGTCTGTCACTCAGGCTGGAGTGCAGTGGTGTGATCTGGACTCACTGTAACCTCTACCTCCTGGGTTCAAGTGAGTCTCCTGCCTCAGCCTCCTGAGTAGCTGGGACTACAGGCACATGCCACCATACCCAGCTAATTTTTGTGTTGTTGTAGAGACAGGGTTTCACCATGTTGGCCAGGATGGTCTCCAACTCCTGAACTCAAGTGATCCACCCACCTTGGCCTCCTAAAGTGTTGGGATTACAGGTGTGAGGCACCGTGCCTGGCCAAATTTTTCTTTTTCTAAAAAAGGTCCATGAATAAAGAACTGGCCAGAAAAGAATTCAAGGTTTTCTCCCTTTTGGTATATGTTACTTTAATGGAATCATTGGCCATAATGAAAAGTTCATTTATTAAGTTATTTAGTGATGATTCTTTTTTGCTTTACAGAATATCAATAATCTCATATATGTATTCAAACAAAAATGCATGAAGTTCTCAACTTTATTCATGCCAGAATAGATATTTCCTTTATATAAATGCACAGCCATTAGAAGCTGGGATCTGAGGAAATTCTCTCTCATCTCAGTGCAAGTTAATTTCTTCATTTTCTTCTGCGTCTCTCTGAACCTCAGTCCTGAGTTGTTTGCTTTTTATTGTAGACCAGGGTGGTCCAGAGTTGGTGACTATTATGGCATGGCTACCCAGGGCCAGAGAGGTGAGGTTTAATGAGAAAGAAGATAGATGAAAATGACTCCTCCTCCTGCTTTCACTGCTGCAGCAACTCAGGCCTGCAGGTAAACGTCCCTCATCTTCATGTTATTGCTTCACGCCACCCTGGAAAAATCATGCATTACTACAGAGCTCTCATTGCAATTTCCATGAGGACATCTTTGCCATAGCCTTCATTTCTAAAGAAGGGATAGCTAAAGACAAATCACGTTTTGCCTTCAAATTTAAAAATCCCTTTTCTACCCGAAGACTAAGAAGAGTCTTTGCTTTGTTTTGCAGGTCATTTGTTAAATGGAGGGTATTCAAAGAAAGATGGAAACATTTAATCTTAAACCTTAAAACTAGTCTTAATTATAATATTAATCAAAGGGATCAGTCGAAATATTGAACTGGGAACAGAAAGTTAAGGCAGGACTTAAACACTAGAAGTCAGCTTTTATTTCTGGCTTCCAAATTTTTGCTGTGTTCTCTCATGTTTATAAGAATCCAGGCTGCACCTTTTCTCTATGGTTACTAGCAGCGATCTTCTGAATAGGAAATCTCTGATGAATTTTGCATAACTTCATGTACAGAAGGCTTAGGGATATAGTCATGGTTGTAGTGGGTCAAACAATAAAAAGACAGTATAATGCAATGTGTGGAAAGAAGAAAATAAGATTACAAGTTACCCTCCATGGCCTCTAGGAGTATAACAAAAGAAATTATCAGGAAGCTAGCCCCAGGCCAACTTGTGCAAGATATCCCCTTTTCTGCAAAACGAAGGGTTTGCATTGGACATGTCTACGAAGCTCACTTACAGCTTGACAGTTCTATTATTCCAAGTGTCTTGAGAGATACAAACTTTGCAGAGAGTCCTGGTACCTGTAGTTTCTCTTTTTGCTACTCAATCGTCCCCTTCCCAATCCTGTCCTCCAATCCTAGGCTCCTAAAGCTCTTGCTTCGGGAAAATAATACCAGAGGTTTTCATTTCATGGAGTCCTGCTTTCAACTCCTGGTACGCAAAACAGGCAGGCAGGAGACCCTGATTTAATGCCCAAACAGTAGTTGGGGAAAATACGTCTTGGATGTTTGAAATAGAACTATAACAGACCAGAGGTTCCTTCCCTTCCCAAGATTCATATTAGAATATGGGTTGTGTGAAAAACAGACTCGATAAAACTTCGAGATTTGGGACTAGGCATCAGTATTTTAAAATGAAATTCATAAGTAAGTCTATACAGCAGTTAATTACCAATGGTAATAATCACATGTATATTTTAAAGAACCATTAGTATTTATTTGATATGTACGTGACAAGACACTTACTACTTAGTATACAAGTATCACAGGAAAATGTATCCAGGGTCCAAACAACTGTTCTCAAATGGTCTTTGAGAACACCATCCATTCTTGAAATGGAGAAAGCCCGTATATCATTCTTAGTATAGAAATTACTAAGCAGAAAAGAATAAAATGGAGCAAAATTTTTACCATGTTAAGTTGTTTGGTAATAGTGATCGGTGCGTTAATCAAATGAATTAAGTCCCAGGAAACATCTCACATTTGTTATCAAGTCACTGCCATTGGATGCAAAATTTGGCATTGTTCTATGATGCTGCCAAAAAACTGAATGGTGTATCAATAAAACTTGTTTTAAACTTGAATGATGAAGCAATCTATAGGGTTTTGTTTCCTTTTGAAACTAAACTCCATACTTTTATTCAGATTTCCTTAGCTTATACTTATGGTCCGTTTTCTGGTCCGGGATCCCATCCAGAATATCATCTTGTATTTATTTGTCTTATCTCCCTTCCTTGTTTTTGAGAAATACTTGACAAGTGTTTTGTAGAATGTCCCTCAATTTGGGATAGTCTGATGTTTTTCTCATGATTAGACTAGAATTAGGACATTCTGAGGAAGAAGAAGACTACAGAGATAAGTGCCATTTTCATCACAGCGTTTCAAGTGCCATATTATTGATACGACTGATCACTAACAATATGTGAACCTTGATCCTGCCAATGTAGTCATTCTGTAGTTTTTAATGCAGTGCATACTTACAGGAGATGACAGAAACAAAATAAGCTTAATTGAATTGTGATCTTCTTCATAACTTTTACCTTGGAAAGGTGTCCCTCTCAAAATCAGATAACTTTATAAAGGGATTACAAATTTCCACATTGCTAAGGTTTCTGCACAGTCATTCAAAAGGGTCACAGTAAAATTCATTGAGCAGGATTTGTATATTGAGATGACTATAATATTAGAAACTGGTGCCTTTCCATACATTTTCCCACAAATCACAGGAGTGAAGAGACAATGGTGAAGGGGGAACAACTCAATGTCTTGTCTTTTCTATATGTATACAAAATTATTATAATAATTGCTTCTCTGAGCATATCCATCACTCGTTACAGAAGTTTGGGAAAAAAACCACAATCAGATTTCACTTTAGCCATATGCCAGTTCAAATGAATGCTGCTGTAACACTTCAGCTGACATTCATGTCTTAAAGCTCCTCACTCTACACTTGTATATATCTAGTTGAACAGCCCTAAATAATTTTCCCCATTTTTTAATTGTTGGTAAATAATTGAGTAAAATGAAAGAAACTGGGAGGGGGCATTCAGGCCTATTATGACAATTCTTTTTTTTTTTTTTTTTTTTTTTTACACTGTAGAAATTTTTATTTTTATTTTTATTTTTTTCCTCATATATATTTTATTGGCTTTCCCTTAAACATGAAAAATTATAGCAGTTTCTCTACACATCTAATCAACTCATTTCAGTAAAAACCATAACCAATTAAAATTTATTCTCAAAAAAAGGAATCTCTTTTTTTTTTTTAATTTTATTTATTTATTTTTTTTTATTATACTTTAAGTTTTAGGGTACATGTGCACATTGTGCAGGTTAGTTACATATGTATACATGTGCCATGCCGGTGCGCTGCACCCACTAACTTGTCATCTAGCATTAGGTATATCTCCCAATGCTATCCCTCCCCCCTCCCCCCACCCCACCACAGTCCCCAGAGTGTGATATTCCCCTTCCTGTGTCCATGTGATCTCATTGTTCAATTCCCACCTATGAGTGAGAATATGCGGTGTTTGGTTTTTTGTTCTTGCGATAGTTTACTGAGAATGATGATTTCCAATTTCATCCATGTCCCTACAAAGGACATGAACTCATCATTTTTTATGGCTGCATAGTATTCCATGGTGTATATGTGCCACATTTTCTTAATCCAGTCTATCATTGTTGGACATTTGGGTTGGTTCCAAGTCTTTGCTATTGTGAATAGTGCCGCAATAAACATATGTGTGCATGTGTCTTTATAGCAGCATGATTTATAGTCATTTGGGTATATACCCAGTAATGGGATGGCTGGGTCAAATGGTATTTCTAGCTCTAGATCCCTGAGGAATCGCCACACTGACTTCCACAATGGTTGAACTAGTTTACAGTCCCACCAACAGTGTAAAAGTGTTCCTATTTCTCCACATCCTCTCCAGCACCTGTTGTTTCCTGACTTTTTAATGATTGCCATTCTAACTGGTGTGAGATGGTATTTCATAGTGGTTTTGATTTGCATTTCTCTGATGGCTAGTGATGATGAGCATTTTTTCATGTGTTTTTTGGCTGCATAAATGTCTTCTTTTGAGAAGTGTCTGTTCATGTCCTTCACCCACTTTTTGATGGGGTTGTTTGTTTCTTTCTTGTAAATTTGTTTGAGTTCACTGTAGATTCTGGATATTAGCCCTTTGTCAGATGAGTAGGTTGCGAAAATTTTCTCCCATTTTGTAGGTTGCCTGTTCACTCTGATGGTAGTTTCTTTTGCTGTGCAGAAGCTCTTTAGTTTAATTAGATCCCATTTGTCAATTTTGTCTTTTGTTGCCATTGCTTTTGGTGTTTTAGACATGAAGTCCTTGCCCATGCCTATGTCCTGAATGGTAATGCCTAGGTTTTCTTCTAGGGTTTTTATGGTTTTAGGTCTAACGTTTAAATCTTTAATCCATCTTGAATTGATTTTTGTATAAGGTGTAAGGAAGGGATCCAGTTTCAGCTTTCTACATATGGCTAGCCAGTTTTCCCAGCACCATTTATTAAATAGGGAATCCTTTCCCCATTGCTTGTTTTTCTCAGGTTTGTCAAAGATCAGATAGTTGTAGGTATGTGGCGTTATTTCTGAGGGCTCTGTTCTGTTCCATTGATCTATATCTCTGTTTTGGTACCAGTACCATGCTGTTTTGGTTACTGTAGCCTTGCAGTATAGTTTGAAGTCAGGTAGTGTGATGCCTCCAGCTTTGTTCTTTTGGCTTAGGATTGACTTGGCGATGCGGGCTCTTTTTTGGTTCCATATAAACTTTAAAGTAGTTTTTTCCAATTCTGTGAAGAAAGTCATTGGTAGCTTGATGGGGATGGCATTGAATCTGTAAATTACCTTGGGCAGTATGGCCATTTTCACGATATTGATTCTTCCTACCCATGAGCATGGAATGTTCTTCCATTTGTTTGTATCCTCTTTTATTTCCTTGAGCAGTGGTTTGTAGTTCTCCTTGAAGAGGTCCTTCACATCCTTTGTAAGTTGGATTCCTAGGTATTTTATTCTCTTTGAAGCAATCGTGAATGGGAGTTCACTCATGATTTGGCTCTCTGTTTGTCTGTTGTTGGTGTATAAGAATGCTTGTGATTTTTGTACATTGATTTTGTATCCTGAGACTTTGCTGAAGTTGCTTATCAGCTTAAGGAGATTTTGGGCTGAGACAATGGGGTTTTCTAGATATACAATCATGTCGTCTGCAAACAGGGACAATTTGACTTCCTCTTTTCCTAATTGAATACCCTTTATTTCCTTCTCCTGCCTAATTGCCCTGGCCATAACTTCCAACACTGTGTTGAATAGGAGTGGTGAGAGAGGGCATCCCTGTCTTGTGCCAGTTTTCAAAGGGAATGCTTCCAGTTTTTGCCCATTCAGTATGATATTGGCTGTGGATTTGTCATAGATAGCTCTTATTATTTTGAAATACGTCCCATCAATACCTAATTTATTGAGAGTTTTTAGCATGAAGGGTTGTTGAATTTTGTCAAAGGCTTTTTTCTGCAGCTATTGAGATAATCATGTGGTTTTTGTCTTTGGCTCTGTTTATATGCTGGATTACATTTATTGATTTGTGTATATTGAACCAGCCTTGCATCCCAGGGATGAAGCCCACTTGATCATGGTGGATAAGCTTTTTGATGTGCTGCTGGATTCGGTTTGCCAGTATTTTATTGAGGATTTTTGCATCAATGTTCATCAAGGATATTGGTCTAAAATTCTCTTTTTTGGTTGTGTCTCTGCCCGGCTTTGGTATCAGAATGATGCTGGCCTCATAAAATGAGTTAGGGAGGATTCCCTCTTTTTCTATTGATTGGAATAGTTTCAGAAGGAATGGTACCAGTTCCTCCTTGTACCTCTGGTAGAATTCGGCTGTGAATCCATCTGGTCCTGGACTCTTTTTGGTTGGTAAGCTATTGATTATTGCCACAATTTCAGCTCCTGTTATTGGTCTATTCAGAGATTCAACTTCTTCCTGGTTTAGTCTTGGGAGAGTGTATGTGTCGAGGAATTTATCCATTTCTTCTAGATTTTCTAGTTTATTTGTGTAGAGGTGTTTGTAGTATTCTCTGATGGTAGTTTGTATTTCTGTGGGATCGGTGGTGATATCCCCTTTATCATTTTTTATTGTGTCTATTTGATTCTTCTCTCTTTTTTTCTTTATTAGTCTTGCTAGCGGTCTATCAATTTTGTTGATCCTTTCAAAAAACCAGCTCCTGGATTCATTGATTTTTTGAAGGGTTTTTTGTGTCTCTATTTCCTTCAGTTCTGCTCTGATTTTAGTTATTTCTTGCCTTCTGCTAGCTTTTGAATGTGTTTGTTCTTGCTTTTCTAGTTCTTTTAATTGTGATGTTAGGGTGTCAATTTTGGATCTTTCCTGCTTTCTCTTGTGGGCATTTAGTGCTATAAATTTCCCTCTACACACTGCTTTGAATGCGTCCCAGAGATTCTGGTATGTTGTGTCTTTGTTCTCGTTGGTTTCAAAGAACATCTTTATTTCTGCCTTCATTTCGTTATGTACCCAGTAGTCATTCAGGAGCAGGTTGTTCAGTTTCCATATAGTTGAGCGGCTTTGAGTGAGATTCTTAATCCTGAGTTCTAGTTTGATTGCACTGTGGTCTGAGAGATAGTTTGTTATAATTTCTGTTCTTTTACATTTGCTGAGGAGAGCTTTACTTCCAACTATGTGGTCAATTTTGGAATAGGTGTGGTGTGGTGCTGAAAAAAATGTATATTCTGTTGATTTGGGGTGGAGAGTTCTGCAGATGTCTATTAGGTCCGCTTGGTGCAGAGCTGAGTTCAATTCCTGGGTATCCTTGTTGACTTTCTGTCTCGTTGATCTGTCTAATGTTGACAGTGGGGTGTTAAAGTCTCCCATTATTAATGTGTGGGAGTCTAAGTCTCTTTGTAGGTCACTCAGGACTTGCTTTATGAATCTGGGTGCTCCTGTATTGGGTGCATATATATTTAGGATAGTTAGCTCTTCTTGTTGAATTGATCCCTTTACCATTATGTAATGGCCTTCTTTGTCTCTTTTGATCTTTGTTGGTTTAAAGTCTGTTTTATCAGAAACTAGGATTGCAACCCCTGCCTTTTTTTGTTCTCCATTTGCTTGGTAGATCTTCCTCCATCCTTTTATTTTGAGCCTATGTGTGTCTCTGCACGTGAGATGGGTTTCCTGAATACAGCACACTGATGGGTCTTGACTCTTTATCCAATTTGCCAGTCTGTGTCTTTTAATTGGAGCATTTAGTCCATTTACATTTAAAGTTAATAGTGTTATGTGTGAATTTGATCCTGTCATTATGATGTTTGCTGGTTATTTTGCTCGTTAGTTGATGCAGTTTCTTCCTAGTCTCGACGGTCTTTACATTTTGGCATGATTTTGCAGCGGCTGGTACCGGTTGTTCCTTTCCATGTTTAGCGCTTCCTTCAGGAGCTCTTTTAGGGCAGGCCTGGTGGTGACAAAATCTCTCAGCATTTGCTTGTCTGTAAAGGATTTTATTTCTCCTTCACTTATGAAGCTTAGTTTGGCTGGATATGAAATTCTGGGTTGAAAATTCTTTTCTTTAAGAATGTTGAATATTGGCCCCCACTCTCTTCTGGCTTGTAGGGTTTCTGCCGAAAGATCCGCTGTTAGTCTGATGGGCTTCCCTTTGAGGGTAACCCGACCTTTCTCTCTGGCTGCCCTTAACATTTTTTCCTTCATTTCAACTTTGGTGAATCTGACAATTATGTGTCTTGGAGTTGCTCTTCTCGAGGAGTATCTTTGTGGCGTTCTCTGTATTTCCTGAATCTGAATGTTGGCCTGCCTTGCTAGATTGGGGAAGTTCTCCTGGATAATATCCTGCAGAGTGTTTTCCAACTTGGTTCCATTCTCCCCGTCACTTTCAGGTACACCAATCAGACGTAGATTTGGTCTTTTCACATAGTCCCATATTTCTTGGAGGCTTTGCTCATTTATTTTTATTCTTTTTTCTCTAAACTTCCCTTCTCGCTTCATTTCATTCATTTCATCTTCCATTGCTGATACCCTTTCTTCCAGTTGATCGCATCGGCTCCTCAGGCTTCTGCATTCTTCACGTAGTTCTCGAGCCTTGGTTTTCAGCTCCATCAGCTCCTTTAAGCACTTCTCTGTATTGGTTATTCTAGTTATACATGCTTCTAAATTTTTTTCAAAGTTTTCAACTGCTTTGCCTTTGGTTTGAATGTCCTCCCGTAGCTCAGAGTAATTTGATCGTCTGAAGCCTTCTTCTCTCAGCTCATCAAAGTCATTCTCCATCCAGCTTTGTTCCGTTGCTGGTGAGGAACTGCGTTCCTTTGGAGGAGGAGAGACACTCTGCGTTTTAGAGTTTCCAGTTTTTCTGTTCTGTTTTTTTCCCCATCTTTGTGGTTTTATCTACTTTTGGTCTTTGATGATGGTGATGTACAGATGGGTTTTTGGTGTGGATGTCCTTTCTGTCTGTTAGTTTTCCTTCTAACAGACAGGACCCTCAGCTGCAGGTCTGTTGGAATACCCTGCTGTGTGAGGTGTCAGTGTGCCTCTGCTGGGGGGTGCCTCCCAGTTAGACTGCTCGGGGGTCAGGGGTCAGGGACCCACTTGAGGAGGCAGTCTGCCGGTTCTCAGATCTCCAGCTGCGTGCTGGGAGAACCACTGCTCTCTTCAAAGCTGTCAGGCAGGGACATTTAAGTCTGCAGAGGTTACTGCTGTCTTTTTGTTTGTCTGTGCCCTGCCCCCAGAGGTGGAGCCTACAGTGGCAGGCAGGCCTCCTGGAGCTGTGGTGGGCTCCACCCAGTTCGAGCTTCCCGGCTGCTTTGTTTACCTAAGCAAGCCTGGGCAATGGCGGGCGCCCCTCCCCCAGCCTCGCTGCCGCCTTGCAGTTTGATCTCAGACTGCTGTGCTAGCAATCAGCGAGATTCCGTGGGCATAGGACCCTCCGAGCCAGGTGTGGGATATAGTCTCGTGGTGCGCCGTTTTTTAAGCCGGTCTGAAAAGCGCAATATTCGGGTGGGAGTGACCCGATTTTCCAGGTGCGTCCGTCACCCCTTTCTTTGACTCGGAAAGGGAACTCCCTGACCCCTTGCGCTTCCCAGGTGAGGCAATGCCTCGCCCTGCTTCGGCTCGCGCACGGTGCACGCACCCACTGGCCTGCGCCCACTGTCTGGCACTCCCTAGTGAGATGAACCCGGTACCTCAGATGGAAATGCAGAAATCACCCGTCTTCTGCGTCGCTCACGCTGGGAGCTGTAGACCGGAGCTATTATGACAATTCTTTATGCCATTTAACAGCTGGAGATTTTTTTTCATATTTGACTTCCTTTTTCCCACATAGTTTTCAGATACAGAGTTGAATATTTGGCCACATGCTATTCTCACTACTCTCTCTCTCTCTCTTTTTTTTTTTTTGGCTCCCTTTTCCTCACCTAAGTTATTAAGTTTTGTCTCAAGAGTTAATAACTACCAAATTCACGTGGCCTATGTGAATTAATTGGGTTTTGCAAGGCTTTTTGATAATAGAAGAAACTATATAAAGTGATAGGAGCACTACCTTGACTTGTTGCCTCTCTTTCCCAGTCTTAACAATGGGGATGTTCAATGTCCACTTAATGTTTTCAAAGAACAGACAGTATCTGATTGGATTCTCGGTCTTATTTACCATCCTTTAACTTTGCAGTTATAAACAGACATAGTAGAACTTGCAGATTCACAGGGACAGAAAACCTTTCTTTGACCTCATCATAACAGGAAATTGCTGAACTGGAGGTGGAAGCCTTAGAAACTTGTCCTGAGTGTTGGCACTTGGAGCAGTGTCCAGTGAAGTATGCTAGGAGGAAGTTGAGGGACTTAGTGTGTGAAGCCATAGGGAGGGGTTGTCCCTCCTGAACAGAAGCAGAAGTAGTCACACGGTATCTTCATTTCTGTAGTACTTGTGATATTTGGCCACTCACAAGAAAAACAAAATATGAACCAACCTTAATGTAAATATATGAAATATGGGGCAAACAATTGCAAATTGAGAGAATCTATTTTTAGCAGTAATTGTTCTGTTTTTACTGAACTATAAAGGATATTCTGGTAGTAAAGAAATTATTCAATAGCATATACTATTTGCACAAAGATACCACTTAAGATACATAATACAAAATAGATAATTATCAGTGGAGTTTTGTTTTATATAAAAAAGATACATTGATGTTCTGGAGCCAAAAATTCCACTGCTATATTGAGAATTGTTTTAGAAACAACATTCTTTTTTTTTTGTTTTTTGTTTTTTTGTTTGTTTTCTGTGAGATGGAGTCTAGCTCTGTCGCCCAGGCTGGAGTGTAATGGCGTGATCTCGGCTCACTGCATCCTCCACCTCCCGGGTTCGAGCAATTCTCCTGGCTCAGCCTCCTTGGCAGCTGGGACTACAGGCGCCCACCATCATGCCCGGATAATTTTTGTATTTTTAGTAGAGATGGGGTTTCACCATATTGGCCAGGCTGGTCTCGAACTCCCAACCTCAGGTGATCCGCCAGCCTCAGCCTCCCAAAGTGTAGAAACAACATTCTTACAGGTCTTTCTTGCTAAAGTCTGAAGAATCAAAGCACCAGCAAAGAAAACAAAATGACCCTGATATGACTGAGTTATTTGGCTTGCACTGTTAACTTTTTTCCCCCTAAATTTTGTTCCATCCTATGCATGAAGCTAGAAAAGGTTCAAATCTGTTTCCAATAAGAGAAAGGACTTGAAATAGTTTCATAAATGTTATTGTTAATTTCTAGAGTGTTACTTGCTGATTAGGAAACAAAGATTTAAACAGAAATGAGCAGCAATAAGAATCACTGCAATCTTAGGTTTCAGGCTGCTAACATATATTCTCATGTGCGTTTAGGAAATACATTTGTATACAGGAAGTGGAGTTCTATTACTATCTATCTATTCTTAAATCCAACAGTCTAGAGTATTTGTTCAGAGATAAGACCTTTCTTAGGTAATATAAGGAATGAAATTTGTTACCTAGCGTAATGGTGAATCAAAAGTTTGCTTAATAAGCAAAAGACTCTTCAGTCATTAATCTAAGCCCTAAGTATTACGGAAAGTAAGCTGAATGGGATACTTTCTAGATCTGGAATCTTTTAAACATATTGATAAATATTCTCTCTCTCTCTTTCTCTCTCTCTCTCTCTCTTTCTCTCTTTCTTTCTTCCTAGACAAGATCCAGCTCTATTGCCCAAGCTGGAGTGCAGTGGTGAGATAATGATTCACTGCAGCCTTGATCTCCTGGGCTCAAGCAGTTCTCCTGCCTCAGCCTCCTGAGTAGCTGGGACCACAGGCACCCTCCACCATGTCTGGCCAAAATTTTTTGAATTTTTTGTAGAGACCAGGTTTCACCATGTTGCCCAGGCTGATTTCAAATTCCTGGGCTCAAGTGATCTTCCTGCCTCAGCCTCTCAAAGTGCTGAGATTACAAGTGTGAGCCACCACACCCAGCCAAAATATAAATACGCCTTTAATAGTAACACCTAATTACCTAACACCATCAAAAATGGGGTGCTCCATGAAGAAGCACATAATTCAAATTATTGAAGTTTATCCCTTCTAATGACCACATAGATTTCTCTTGCCCCATTAAAAAATTAGATAATCAGTATTTCTAGGATAGTTGTTTTCTTCCAACCAATTAAGGCATAATCTATGTAGCAGAACATTCAGAGGATGATGCCTGGTCAACATTTGAATAAACAATCACTGTGATGTTACCTCTATTTAAGATGACTCCAATAAAACTTCTATGGTTTGCATTATTAGTTGATCAGACTTTAAGCATTATCTTTTGATAGGGTCAAGGAACCTGTCTTAACTCCCCATCTCTGACCAAAATATACTTGTTTTCTATAAGCTATAAAGCCAGATAGCCAATTTTATGAGAATTGTCCCTATACTATATCCATGTGAGCGATGAGTGCCTGGCATGAAGATGCATAAAGGAGGCAGTAATATACAACAACTGAAGCATAACCTCTGGAGCCAGTCTTCTTCAGACAAATCCCAATTCCATTACTCACTGGCCACCTAAACAAGCTACTTAATTCATCTGCCTCAGTTTTCTTCAACTGTTTAATGGGTATGATCAACAAACCAACTTCAGTGGGTTATCATAAATATTAATAAATGAGAGAATGCATGTGAAACAAAGCTATAAGCAATCATTAGTAATAATAATAAAAGATGATCATTATTTTTCATGGAGTTTTTGCTAGTGCCATGTACTGTTTTGTTAATACTAATTGCCTGATTTTCTGTCCATGAATTTTTGGCTGATCTAAGTTTCCACTTCCCTCACCCCTTGGCTGGGATCTAGGTATGAGAGTTGCTTGGCAAGCAAACTAGAGATAAGTAAGGTGTTACTATATAAAGTTAATGTAGGCACATATGAATATCCAAACATGCCATAATGTTGGGGTTTGACCCTTTCCCTAATACTCAGTTTCTTCATTTGAAATGTTCTAATTGGTGTTTTTATGTTGGTCCTGGTAAACTTTGTTAACTCTTTGTACTTTGCTGTATATTGCAATTTATGCTTTTTTTCACGGTTTAATTTCTGAACCATATTGTATACAATCAGGTACCAGCGAATAAAAGGACCAAACTAAAAATGATGGAATATATAATGAAGGAAGCATGGGATTTCTACAATCTATTCTAGACTCTTTATTAAAAGAAGGGTAGGTGAAGGCTCCCTTTTTGAAATTTAAATTTAATATACTTTTCACAATTCTACTGTCCTCTCAGTAAATATGGAATTTACGAGTCATCACATAGACTAAAGTAAAGCATAAAGTCCTCATGCTGCTTCAGCACAAGACGCTTACCTTCAACTATTCCCTGAGCTTGTAGGAGACAGATGATACATCAATATGCTCTAAGCCACAGTCAGGCAATAGATACAGAATCAGGCAACAGGCATCATAATCCAAAGGCTGGAAATGGCTGAAAATGATTCCTGAGAGGCATTCACAAAGTCTGAGATGTCCTCTCTGAGGACCAACTGTTGCCAAAATCAGAGTTGCCAAGAAGCCACTCAGGGACTCCATCCTGTAGATAGACCCCTCTTCCATTTTCCTGGGGCTTACTCAGTATGACTCACCTCCTCAAAGCCATCATGAGGGTGGTTCATTGGGAAATGGGAAAAGACCTGGCCATGTTCCAGAGGTACAGAGGATATCATTGGTTTCTTCAGTAATATGCAGGTGAAAGCTATGGGTATCTCATGCTGACCAGAAATTTGTAAGTGTACCTTTCAGAAGGGGAAAGCTAAATCTCAGATTTTCTACTTTCTTGCCTTTGGCAAATCATTTTGAATACTCTTTTGATAAAAAGGTCTTTTATAATGTCTTTACCCCTTTGAGTAATGTTTATTGGGGGGACATTCTCAGAGGTAAATTTTGAAAATAAAATAAATAGAAAAGAGAGTAAATCCCTTCTTTATCACTTTTACTGACAAATGACAACAGAAAAAAAAATAGTACATAAAAGATCTAATCTTTAGGCTCCATCAAAGCATATTTGCAACATTTCATCATGTCATGTGAGTTTATTAGCTATGCTGTTAATATGCAATTAATATAACTTGAGGATATGCTATGTCAGTGGAATAAAAACTCATAAAAAGGCTAATGTTTCTGAGACGAACTGACATGATAAGCCATTGGAATTCACTTAGTGCAGGTGTTTCATTGCTATTTATTCCAGCAAATATTATCAACCACCCACTTCTGCCCAGTGATGCAGACCTGAGGATCCTGGTCTGTTTTGCACAGATTCTGACTTGTGTCTTCAGTACTCTAGATATGGGCACACAAGAGCAAGCTAAGACTTGTCAGAAAAAGCTTTGCACTGTGTGTATGATACTATTGTTATTATTATTACAGGTCCATGTGCTCCACTAAAACTGAGCAGCTACTTACGTGCCTGGCACTGTGCCATATCCTTTCATATAATTTCATTTGGTAAAGGGGAGCAGATGTTTGCTCAGGTAAAATGAAACAGGAAACGCATAGAAGAGCATTAAGAACCACTGCGAAAAACTTGTAATATAGGCCTCTCATTCCCAGGCTAAATTTCATCAGTTTACCCAGTGGGGATGAATGGAAAAAAGTAGGTTTCCAAGTGAAAAGATTTTCTCTAAGAGTTTAAGAGCAAGAACCCCCTCTCCTTTAGTTCAGGTCTCCTCCTTCCAGACCAGATTCCTTCTGAGACCAGCAACGCAGTGGCTTAAATCCCTGGATTAGCTGCGACCTCTTCATTTCTTTTTTTTTTTTTCTTTTTACTTCCTGTTGAAAATCCAAATCAGAATATTTTTGGATTTTAAACAAAGTGAATGAAAGTGAGACTATAATGATTATGGTGGTGATGCAGTTGACAATTGCATTACGATGAAAGGTTTTCTTTTTATTCAAGAAAACATCACCAGTGTTCTGACTTCCCCTTAACCTACCCACACTCGACCTTCAAATTTACTTGCCTTTTAAAAATTCCAAATCGTGAGAAATTATGTATCACCTGCTTTAGATTTTCTAAGAGAAAGTGAACATTAGAGTTTTACAGCTAAAACAGACATTAAAGCTATGGCATCGCTAACTTCCTCTGGAAAGGGAAAGAGATCTGAAATTAGAAACACAAATTAAGAAGTAACAAGGAAATTACCACGTTTTCATTGCTTACAAAATGATTTCTCACGCATTACCCAGAGAACGACAATAATAATATAACTGGGCACATGTGCAGTGCAACTTCACCCAGAAGTAGAAAATGTAAAGTTCTATGTTTTGTTGTTAATCTATCATTGCAATGCTATGCTATGGTTTTTGTGCTGCTTATAGAAGATGTTTCTATTATTCATGTCTTTATATTTTACTAAATGCAGTGGGTTCTCATTTCTGAATAGAACATACAGTCATCCCTTGGTAATCATGGGGGACTAGTTCCAGGATCTCCTGTGGATACCAAAATCCACAGATCCTCAAGTCCCTGATATAAAATGGTGTAGTATTTGCATATAGCCTGAGCACATCCTCCCATACACTTTAAATTATCTCTAGATTACTTATAATAACAGATACAATGTAAATGCTTTATTTACAACGTAAATAGTTGTTACATTGCGTTGTTTAGGGAATAATAGAAAGAAAAGTATGTACATGTTCAGCACAAATGCAACTTTTTCTAATATTTTTTATTTGTGGTTGGTTGAATCCAATGATGTGGAACCCAAGGATACAGGGGATTGACTATATTTTTATTCTTTGTAATAAAATAGCACATTATGAAATGCATCACCTCAAGAAAAAAATAATCTTAGATGGTGCCACTGTTAGTCAGGTAAGCAACATTTCCTTATTTTTCCAGAGATAGAACTAAAAACCTTAAAAATAATGTGATGGGAATTTGGAAATAGCTTCTTCTATCTTTATGCTGCTTTCATATACTGTCTTGCTTTGATTATGATAATTCATTAATTAAAATACATCAAACAACACCTCATTCCTGTTGAACTGCTTCAAGGACCAGATGTTAAAATTCTCCAATTACATTTTTATTCCACTGATAACATGTGTCATTGACAGAATATAAGATCTCTTGCAATTTAGGATTTTCTATTTGCCTATTTCACTGTAATATTGGATGGAATCTATGGATATTTAATAGCATCTGCACATTTTCAAAGGAATTCAGGAATAAATCTTAGGTTCCTTTGGTGATTATGACTGACATGTTGACCCTATTCACAAAAGTTTTCCATATTTTTTTTTCCATGGATTTTGACCTGTTCCTTTGTGATATATACAAGATACCTAATAGTCCTGAAGGAATATAAAGATTTTTCCTACTCTGGAGTCTCTGGGAAATGAAAATGGCATTCACTGTGCATCTTGTGATCAGGAGCTCAGCCATCTCTGCAAATGACTCACAGCCCTGAGGATGCTTGGGGCAGGTTTGGCCTATTGTATGTCTGGTTATGACACACATTTTTCAGCCATTATTTTTCAGCATGGAAATACGATTTTAATTGACTAAAACAACAAAGTACATTTTCAAAGTTGGTAAAACATCACCTTTGCTCTGCATGTTTTATAATAAAAACCAAGTGGCTAAAGGTGACAGCAATTATTCTCAGCTTAATAACAGAATAATCCTGCTGTGAGGGACAAACTATGATTCCAGGGAACTTCTGTAATCTTTTTAGTGTTTATCAATCTAACTAACTCTCTTGAGACTGGTAAATCATGCAAGTCAGTTATGCTAACAGGCATTTCATAGACTGTGGTAAATAACTTGAACCAACTAAGACAAGGTAAAATAAAAACCCTTGAAATTATTTTGAACATTTTAAGTAATCTGAGTTTTGTAATCAAAACAGTATTCAAATTGTCTATGTTTTCAGCAGAATCAGGCAGTTTTATGATATCATGAAGTACTTTTAGCAAATTGCCAATAAAAATAAGCATATGCCAGGCACTGTTATAGATGCTGGCTGAGGATGGAACAGTGGACAAAACAGACCAAAAAAAAAAAAAAAAATCAACCCTCATGACTTACATGCTAGTGGAGGAGACAAAGAAACAAATTAAATATAGTATATTAAATGTGGTAAGTGCTGTGGAGAAAAATTAGGCAAGAAAGTGGTACTAGGCCTGATTTCAAACTACATTATAAGGCCACAGTGACCAAAACAGTGTGGTACTGGCACAAAAAAAGGCACATAGACCAATGGAACAGAATGGAGAGCCCAGAAATAAACCCAAATTCTTACATTCAACTGATCTTCAAGAAAGCAAACAAAAAGATAAAGTGGGGAAAGGACATCCTTTTCAACAAATGGTGCTGGGATGATTGGCTAGCCACATGTAGGAGAATGAAACTAGATCCTCATCTCTCACCTTAAACAAAAATCAACTCAAGATGGATTAAGGGCTTAAACCTAAGACCTGAAACTACTGAAATTCTAGAAGAAACATTGGAAAAACCCTTCTAGACATTGGCTTAGGCAAGGATTTCATGGCCAAGGACCCAAAAGCAAATGCAATAAAAACAAAGATAAATAGCTGAGACCTAATTAAACTAAAGATCATTTTTGCATGGCAAAAGGAACAGTCAGCAGAGTAAACAGATAACCTACAGAGTGGGAGAAAATCTTCAAAATCTATACATCTGACAAAGGACTAATATCCAGAATCTACAACAAACTCAAACACATCAGTAAGAAATAAAACGAACAAGCCTATCAAAAAGTGGGCTAAGAATATGAATACACAATTCTCAAAAGAAGATATACAAATGGGCAACAAACATATGAAAACATACTCAACATCACTAATGATCAGGGAAATGCAAATCAAAACCACAATGCAATACCACCTTACTCCTGCAAGAATAGCCATAATCAAAAAAATCAAAAAACAGTAGATGTTGGCATGGATGTGCTGAACAGGGGACACTTACACTGTTGGTGGGAATGTAGACTAGTACGGCCACTATGGAAAACAGGGTGGAGATTCCTTAAAGAACTAAAAGTAGAACTACAATTTGTTCCAGCAATCCAACTACTGGATATCTAACCAGAGGAAAAGAAGTCATTACTTGAAAAAGATACTTACACACACATGTTTATAGCAGCACAATTCATAATTGCAAAATAATGGAACCAACCCAAATGCCCATCAATCAATGAGTGGATAAAGAAACTGTGAGATATGTATGTATGTATGTATATATATATATATATATATATATATATATGATGGAATACTATGCAGCCATAAAAAGGAGTGACTTAACAGCATTTGTAGTAACCTGGATGAGATTGGAGGCTATTATTGTAAGTGAAGTAACTCAGGAATGGAAAATCAAACATCATATGTTCTCACTGATATGTGGGAGCTAAGCTATGAGGACACAAAGGCATAAGAATGATACAATGGACTTTGGGGACTTGGGGGGAAGAGTCGGAGGTGGGGCGAAGGATAGACTACAAATATGGTGAAGTGTATACTGCTTGGGTGATGGGTACACCAAAATCTCACAAATCACCACTAAAAAACTTACTTATGTAACCAAATACCACCTGAACCTCAGTAACCTATGGAAAAATTAAAAATATATATAAAATTAAACAAATAAAGGGTACTAGGGAGTGTGGGAACAAAAACCAGAGGGCTGCAATTTTAGTTTAAGAGATTAGAGAAGGTCCAATTGAGAAGGAGATGGACGAGTGAGCCCTGTGGGATCTGAGGATGGAGTATTCTGGGTAGAGAAAACAGAAACTGCAGTTGCTCTGGAGCAGAAGTCTGTCTGATATGTGTTACAATTAGCAAGACAGTTATAGTGGCTGGAACAGTCTCCTCTGAAGGCAGAGGAGAAGAGGAAGCAATGAGATGGGACGCAAGGTGGAGAAAGGGGTGCAAGTTGTCTGGGGCCTTGTAGACCATTGTAAAGATTTGCCTTTTATTCTGAAAAAGGAGCCTCTGGAGAGCTCTGAGCAGTTGGTTTTGTCCTCTAATTTATATTATAAAATACCTGCAAGGTTGAAAACAGGCAATAGGAAGGCAAAGGCAGAAATATGAAGATAAGTCAGAAGTCATTGCAATAATCCAGGCAAAAGATGTGGCCTAGACTGCAGTGTTAATGCCAAGAGGTTGGTTTTGGATACATTTTTAAGGTAGAATTAATGTGATTTGCTGTTGGACCAAGATACGATGTGAGTGAAAGAAAAAAGAAAAGGATGATTCTGAAATTTTGAGCCTCATGAATGGGAAGGATGGAGTTCTTTTTAGTAAAATAGGGAAAATTGTAAGAGGAACAGGCTTAGAGAAAAAGTAGTTCAGTTTTGATATTTTAGGGTGATGTGTATGATTTGTCCAAGTGGATTTTTCAAATAGGTTGCTAGATGTCTGAAGTTGAAAAGATAAATCCAGGCTGGAAACGTAAATCTGGAATTTGTCAGCATGTAGAGCGTATCGAAAGCTGTGAGACTACCTGAAGATCACCAAGGATGAAAGGATAGATAGAGAAGAGAGGAGATCAAGGATTGAGTTGTGAAGCATGCCGACATAGAACTATTGGAAGTGCTCAGGACCAACCAACCAAAGTAGCAGAGATGGAACAGCTAATGGGAAAGAAAGAAAACTAGGAGAATATGGGGTTCTAGTACCCAAGTGAAGAAAATGTCTCAAGGAGGAAGAGTGGTCAACTGTGTCAATAATTACAGATAGTTCAAGTAAGACGTGATAATCAAAACTTGAATTTCAGAAGTCGGAGGTCACTAGTGACCTTGGTAGAGCAGTATGGATAAAAGCTCCGGGAGAGGATGGGAGGTGAGGAATTGGAAATGCTATGTTTATATGTATTTCAAGAAATTTTCTTAAATGGGAACAAAGAACTGGATTAGCAGTCAAAGCAGGGATATGGAGATAAAGTGTTTTTGTTTGTTTGGTTGGTAGGTTGGTTTTTAAAGATTGGAGCGAGGAAAATATTCACATAAAAGAGAAAAGAATTTCTAGGGTGATGCCCTGAAGTAAGAGAAAGGGGATATGAGCTGGTACACAGTGAAATGTTAGTGTAGGTCAAACCAGTGATAAGCCAATATGGCTATCAGTAAAAGTCAAATGTTCCAAAAGAATGACAAACTGGGTTAGCCTATAGGACAGGTAAGAGTTTTTATACACCTGGGATGATATAAAGGTAAGGCAAAGTTGGGATAACATCAAGTATTACTACAAGGCAATATGTTTTCCTATCAACAGCACCACCAAACACAAACAGCTGTTTTATCTAACGACTGCATAATATGTGGTAGGCATTATTCTAAGTTTTTTATACTTATTGTCATTTAATTGTTACAAGAAATGACTACATCCCCCAGGGGAAAACTGAGTCACAGACAATTTACTAACTTTCCAAGGTCACATGATTTGTAAGGAGTTGTACTGGGTTTTATATGCAGGCAGACTGACTCTGAAACCTGTGCTAAACCACAATCTGATTCTCACCTATCCATCTCTTTATACATTCATCTACATATCTATCTAGAAAATCCCATATTCTCACTCCTGGTTGGGGTTTCCAATGGTGAAGAATTGCATTGAGAAACATTCATCAGAAAATGAAAGACTGTAAAATACAAAATACCATGAATCTAGGCAGAAATTCATGTCATTATAGTAGGCTTGGAGTTTAGGGATCAATTACAGATTGACTTTTTGGTTCCCATGCATTATTGGAAGACTAAAAACCATCCCTCTCTGGACCCCCATTCTGCTCAGAATATACTTGTGCAGCAGCAAACAGCAGGAGAGGGGCAGAAGCAGGCTAATGTTTCACACGTGCTCCCATGGGTGAACTACTCTGATGGCTTAAAAGGGGTCACCCCTGCTGGTGTCATCAAAGGGACGGGAGTCTTCAAAGGGATGACTCTAAGGGAACATCAAGGAGTGTTTACCGGAAGCAAGGCCTCCTTACCCACTCACCCAATTCCCCTGACTCTGGGAGAAGGAGGAGCAGCTGGTGACCTAATACACTCATCTCCACCCTTACCGACTCCAAAGCCCAACATAAATCAATGATATTTACCCATCATCTATGCAAACCTTTTTCATCAACACCTAACCACCTCTGCTTCAGTTTTATTTCTTCAGTTTTCTGAAAGCACTTAATCCAATAGCCCAAATATCTCCCTTAATTTTTAGTGTTTGCTAGCTTTTTACTAACAAATAAGGCTAAAAGCACCTTGCATTAAGAAACTGTCTTATTTTGCATTTGTTACAATATTTAGAAATATTAAGCCTGTAGCACACATGCAGTTGATTTCTAAGTCTTGTTTTAGATCAACTTATCATCTTGTTTGTGTATGTAAAACAAGTAAAAAATATCTGATGTTATAGCTCCTCATTTATTGATTTAATTTTTTCACTGACAGTGAATATTCATATGAATTCTTGGATTACTTTAAAATAAATATGACTTAACACCTAGTTCATATTCTGGTTTTCTTTTAAAAATAACATTAATAAAGTTTATATTTGAGGCTTCATATGCAAAAAATTAAGTACCATGAAATATGGAGTGTGCAAATATTCTTAACTTTCATATTAAGTAGTAAAAAAACCCTAAGTTTTTAAAAAGACGTGTTGACTTAGTTTTTAAAATAAAACTCATTGTAACATTTATTCAGCTCATTTTCTACATTAAATTTTAACAGAGGTTATATATTATTGATCTAAGGCTGCATAACAAATTATCTCAAGATATATTGCCTTAAAACAACAATAAACATTTATTATGTTATGGCTTCTGTGAGGCAAGAATCGGGAGTAATTCAGCTGGGCAGTTCTGTCTTAGCCCATCAAGATGACATTTCTGTACATGCGGCCAACAATCATATGAAAAAAAAGCTCAGCATTATTGATGATTAGAGAAATGCAAATCATAACCACAATGAGATACTCATACCAGTCAGAATGGCTATTTTTAAAAAGTCAAAAAAATAACAGATGCGGGTGGGGTTGTGGAGAAACAGGAATGCTTATACACTGTTGGTGGGAGTGTAAATTAGTTCAGCCATTGAGGAAAGCAGTGTGGTGATTCCTCAAACACCTAAAAACAGAAATATCATTCAATCCAGCAACACCCAAAGGAATGTAAATCATTGTATTATAAAGACACATGTATACAGATGTTCATTGCAGCACTATTCGCAATAGCAAAGACATGGAACCAACCTAAATGCCCATCAACGGTATACTGGATAAAGAAAATGTGGTATATATATACCATGGAATACTATACGGTCATAAAAATAATGAAATCCTGTCCTCTGCAGGAACATGGGTGGAGGTGGAGGCCATTATCCTTAGCAAACTCACACAGAAACAGAAAGCCAAATACTGCATGTTCTCACTTATAAGTGGGAGCTAAATGATGAGAATACATAGACACATAGAGGGGAACAACACACACTGGGGCCTATTGGAGGGTGGAGGGTAGGGAGAGGGAGAGAATCAGGAAAAAGAACTAATGGGGTATTATGCTTAATATCTGGGTGACAAAATAATCTGTACGACATACCCCCATGACACAAGTTTACCTATATACAAATCTGCACATGCACCCCTGAACTTACATATATATATATATATAAAAGATGTCATCTCTGCAGATATGAAGCCTGACTAGAATTGAAGCTGCAGTTCCAAGATGTCCCACTCACATAGTTGGCAAGCTGGTGCTAGTTGTTAGGAGAAGGGCCCACTTCCTCCCCATGTGAACTTTTCCTTAATTTGCCTAAGTGTCTTCATGATAGGGTGACTGGCTTTCCCAGAAAGCAAACAACCTCAGGGAATAAGGCAGAGGACACAACATCTTCATAATGTAGCCTCAGTTGTCATACTTCAATCCTACTCACTGTATTCTGAATGTCACTGGGGCCACACTCTAGGAGACCCTGAAGACTAGACAGAGGCTTCTTGACTTTGTTCTACAGTTAAGGGAAAGTAATGTCACTTTTTAAAAATATGGGATATTGGAAAGGATCTCATTAAAATGGAGTGTGTTTTGCTTATTTATTTACAGAGGCAAATATGATGTTCACAGAAACCTCAAGATGAATGACCTACCAACTTTTAATCTTTCTTTCTAAAAGAATTTATTAAATTACTTTAGAAAAATAAATGAGAAATGTATGTTTATTTTTTCTCCCCACCTCTTTCATTTGCAATATTTAAAGGCCTATGGCATAGTTTGCTCTTGGCAGGATAATTATAAATATGCCCAGTGTTTGGTAGCAAAAAGGGTAAGAAGGAATTATTATTTTGCCCTCAGTATTTATATGTAAATTCACTTGGGTGATTAACAATAAATAACAAGAGGATGAGTGATTGTCAGCTAATTGTTAGTTATTCAACACATTGTTAGCCAGTATGGGGGTTATTTAATTTCTTCCCAACTACATCTCCTTCTTTCCAACAGTTTACTTGAGGCACTTTGTTGTTTGTTATTAGGCACTGAGAAAAAATCAGTCGGTTTAGTAGTTTGTTAGCAACCATGGATAAAAGCTTATTGGAGGAGAATAATAAATGAATATGCAAAGTGAGATGTTGGGATTGTTTGTTATTAATATTTATATCCTACCTCATTGGTTCTGCCTGATCCTATTCTAGATTATCAGTGAAGGCATCTTAGACTCAAAGGATTACTGGACTCTTATGCAGAGAGTTTGTAATCTGAAGGAAAATACACTATAATTACATTTTCTAATTAGCTAAATTATTGTCATTCTTTTCAGCTAATTTCTTTATTTTATTTTCCTATGACTTTTCTAATTCTCATAAGCTTGTAAATAGTTGCACATGACTAATTAAAGCCTCCCAGCTCAAAATCTATTCATCCTAGTACGTAAATGTTTTATGACCCACTTACATCTAGTGTGAACATAGGAAAAAAGTATTCCTTACAGAAGTGCTCACCATGAAAACAAAAAAGTCCCACAAGGGAATGTACTTCTTTCTTTGTTTTTCCTTTTTAAATTGTGTTTCATTTTTAAATAAATATGCTATCATTTGCCTTTTATCTTCAGCTTATCTAACTACTGTTGAATTTAGCTTTGGTTCAACACAGAAACTGGTCATAATATTCTCTTATATTTTGTTTCAGAAAAATTATTAACATTATATTATGGTTAAACAGTTTAGTTTAAAATATTAATTAATGAAGATAAGACTCATAAACACTAATTTCATTTCATGGGAGGCCCTGAAAACATTAATGGCTCTTTTGCTCATCAAACACTTTGAAGGTATCAAAAGGGAAATTTACCTTGAAAAAGTATCCTAATCCCTATAAATTTTTAATTTAAGAATCCAGAATAAACACTGATTTTTGCAACACAATTTTCTAAAGTAATGAGTGTAGAATTTATATAATTTTTAAAAGTCTAAATTGTTTAGAAGTTAAGACTTCTATTCAGGTTGGAGAATACTGCCTTGGCTGTTGTGAACCAAAATTTTGTATTGCGACTATTCATACAGTTGGGTAAGTTTATGTTGAATCAAAAAGAAATTGGGTCATACTTGATAAGGTTTTAAAATATCTTTTTTAACCAGAAGCCTAAAAACATTTAATAATTTCTGCTTGTCCCTTCTGTTGTCATCTAATTGCTTTTTATGAGAATTTCTTGGATTCTGTCTCTCTATATGGCCTTGTGCTTGCTACCTCAATGCCAGGCAAAAGAGCAGCCCCTTTGATGGATGTCAGCTGTTAAGACGCCTTAGTTCATTCTGTTTTTACCCACTCCCCCAAAACCAAAAAAAAAACTGTAACCTATTTTTCTTTTTTTTTTTTTTTTGAGATGGAGTCTCGCTTTGTCACCCAGGCTAGCGTGCAGTGGGTGATCTAGGCTCACTGTAACCTCTGCCTCCCAGGTTCAGGTGATTTTCCTGCCTCAGCCTCCTGAGTAGCTGGGATTACAGACGTGTGCCACCACGCCCAGCTAATTTTTGTATTTTTAGTAGAGACAGGGTTTCACCATGTTGGTCAGGCTGGTCTTGAACTCCTGACCTTGTGAACCACCTGCCTCGGCCTCCCAAAGTGCTGAGATTACAGGTGTGAGCCACGGCTCCCAGCTGTAAGCTATTTTTCTAAACCATTAATTTCCTAAGAGAAGCCATTGGAATGAGAGATAAAATAGGAGTTTCATTTATTATGCAAATTATAAGTAGAGAGTAACGGAGGAAGGAAAAGAAAGGCTAGCCACAGTGTCATTATTAAAATATCCTTTGTGATGATGTCTATACTACCAACAGGGCTGAGGTCTGATTTATCTCCCAGCTAGTACATTTGCATCAGTTGCCCAAGCCACCAATGAAACTTGTTTCCATTGTCTCCTATCCAGTAGGAGACAGCACATTTGTCAACCCATTGTATATTGTTTAATCCTTGCTATTTGAGTAACTGTAAACCTGGGTTAATGCTTGCTTGTAGTTTCTATTATTCCATATTGAATAATTAAATCTAAATCTCTCTATGTACCATTTGAAGACAGGGTGAAAATATTGTTTGACGGTAGGGTGTACTAAAATTAGAGTGATGTGGTTTGCTTTAGTTCCTAGACTATGAGATTCATTTGACACTAATCTAAAAAAGAGAGAACTCTACTTATACATATATAAGTGTGTGTGTGTGTATATGTGTATATATATATATAGATAGATAGATATATAAATGTGTACGTGTGTGTGTATATGTATATTTACCCCGCACATCTCTCAGGATAACTCTAGCCTCTCCCAGGATATGTACTTATTCCTCCCCAATTAAAAATAAACACAACAAAAGGAAGTAGGATAAACTTACTCCTTAGTAGGCTTACAACTAAGAGGTGGAAGGAGGCAAGGTCAGAAGAGCCTTGGGTGCTATTTTGGAAGAAAGGGAAACAGGGCCTACTTAACCACCCTTCCATGACCTGTGGTTTGAGAAACACAGCTCTGAACAGTTCCCACACAACAGCTGTTTTTCCGCATCACCATCAGACAGGAAGTGGAATGGCACATAGAATGCAATTTATAGGATCTGTTCTCTCAGAAAGTGAAACAGGATCTCCAGGCTATTAAATTCACGGTGGTGCAGGAGCTGAACTCACTTATTAAACAGAATTGTCTGCCTAGTAAAAGAAAGCTTCCATTTGTGAAAAACTAAAAAGTTTTCAGAAGTATTATGCAAATAGTTAAGCAGTCACTGGGTTTAAACAAAACTTATTTTTAAAATTTAGAGACATTTTGATCCATTTAATTCTCAGAAAAAGATAACAAACTGATCTTAAAAAACCGCACCAAAACCTATGACTGTATAAAAACCAAAGGCTCTATTCCCTCTAGGACCATGCAAGAAATGGCATCAGAAATTCCAGCCACATTTAAAATAGGAATCAAAATCTATCTACAATGCTCTGCAGACCTGGCTGTATTAACTGCATCTAATTCTGGGGCTAAGCTAATACTAAAAGGTAAAGATGAGAAAATAGGTAATGTCCATTTTAATAAACAGGTATTTTTCTATTTTGGATGTTCCATCTAACTCTGACTATTCAATTAAAGTCTTATTGTCAAAACTCTTTGCTCTGCCAGTGTGATTTGATTTTGAGTCTCTTGCAAAATCCATGTGCAATTATTTCCCTGGCATTCCGGTAGCTATCTGCTGGTTTCCCAAAAGATCCCCAGCCCAGGAGCCTGTTGACTGAAGTGATACCTCTCCCAGAGTGAGAAGCTTAGTGTCACTTGTGTTCCATGCATAATTTTTTTGATTGAAATGAAAATTTAAGCTTCCATGCTGTGCTTGGCAATCCTTGTTTAAGAAGTGTCTAAGAAGAGTATATTCAAGAATGATCAAAAGAACCATCTGTAGTCCAAACCAATAGCTCCTTTGCATTCTTGGAAGCAGTCTGAAGAATCTCCCAAGTCTGCTAGCTCTCTTCTTACTTCAGTAAATTTATGAGAAAGTAATAGCCTCAGGGTCTCTGGGTGTACAGTTTGCTTGTTTCCTTTGCCATTGTCTCCTTAGCCACTTTATGTTTCTTGAACAATTCTATGAGGATGAGTATATTCTCCAGATGGCCACTGGAGGGCACAAAAGTACAATGTTTGCCTTCAAGTTAGGCCTTTGTGGTTTTGTTCTTCATGTGAAACATAATCTATGCTTAAGATATTCAATTAGATATGACATTTTCACTTTTAGAGCACAACTAGTAAATATCTACCTTATCATCTACCTCTTGTCAGTTATATTCTGAATGAGATCAAAACCAAAAGTTATGTTTCTAACATTACTATTATAAAAATGTATATTAATATATTTTCATTCCTTTCACCTTTCATATTTTAAAGTTATCCATCCAAATTCATGATTTGAAATTTTCACAAGGAAATTGTTTCACTTTGAAACATGTATGAATGTATGAATACCACCAAAGTGTATTCAGACATCTTCCCATGGGGAAAAGAGAAAATATTGAGGTGATATTGAAAAGTACACTGACCTGAGATGCACAAAAGAAAATACTTTTATTTTCTTGTTGCTTTAACTATCTAAATGCCTGTATATCTCGCTTTATAGCATAGAATGCTTATAGCAAGTCAGCTTCAAAATATACTTTTTTTTTTTTTTTTTGAGATGGAGTTTTGCTCTTGTCGCCCAGGCTGGAGTGCAATGGCCTGATCTTGACTCACTGCAACCTCCACCTTCCAGGTTCAAGAAATTCACCTGCCTCAGCCTCCCAAGTAGCTGGGATTACAGGTGCCCACCACCATGCCCGGCTAATTTTTGTATTTTAGTAGAGATGGGGTTTCACCACATTGGCCAGGCTGGTCTCAAACTCCTGACCTCAGGTGATCTGCCTGCCTCCACCTCCCAAAGTGTAGGGATTACAGGCATGAGCCACCATGCCTGGCCCAAAATAGACTTTGTATTTAGAATAATACATCTCTCCAAAATGGCATCTTCATGCTGGCATTTTTTTTTTTTTTTGAAAAAACTTTTATCATTATTTTAACATAAAAAATCATGTGAATTATTGCAGAAACTCTTAAAATGCATATTAAAGTTACATAATAAATAACCGTGACAATATTCAAAATGACCCACAAATTATAAAACCGGCCTACTGCTTTCATAGCAGAAACTGTTCCCTCAGTGAAAGGCCTCCTGATTGGTTACCTGCTCCATATCTTCTTCCTATTGTCTCTAGATTTAACTTTCCAAAGCACATAGTCATGTTAGCTGGGCTTTCCTCATTACATTTGTATCAAGTTGGAATTCCTT
Source organism: Homo sapiens (assembly GCF_000001405.40). Lineage (NCBI taxonomy): Eukaryota > Metazoa > Chordata > Mammalia > Primates > Hominidae > Homo > Homo sapiens. The sequence continues at coordinate 52,214,743 of NC_000010.11, read as the reverse complement.
TGGGGGGCATTAATGGAACTTCGCTGTGTAATCTTTATCTGGCCTCTTTCTTCACAGCCACTCCTTTCAAACTTCATGCTCTAGTCTCATAGGGCTATTAAAGAATCCTTAAATGGTTTGTTTGTGAAGCCATAGCTACTATTTCTTTAGAAAATAAAAATAATTTCCAAGAGTAATTGTACTTACTGCATGCTAGCTACTACACAAAGTGCTATACATACATACTCTCAATCTCGCTCCAAAGTCTGAGATGTGTTTATCTATGACCTCCATCTTATAGGTAAGGAAATTGAATGTTAGTGCGGTGATGATTCCTTAGATGTCACTGTATGTGTGATATCAAAGTTTGTGCATCTAAATGACACCAGCATACTGTTCTCTGTTTGCATATTTTCATGCTGCTGTGGATTTTGGGCTAAATGAGAACAGTGAGAGATGTGCACCCAAGTTATATCCTGGTGGGTAATCTGAAATCTTATTACTTTCTTTTCTTCCAAGCAGAACCCTTACTTCCTCTATGCTACTGTTGCACTTTTGGGTGTCAGCAAGTTGGATACTTATGTATTCACACTCCTTTGTAGAGTAGGGGATCCTAGAGTTTGGGGAGGGTGTATATTCATCTCAGTGTCTTAATAACCCAGGAGAATGGCTGACATATTGGATGGGATCTGTAAATGAGGACTCTCCCATTTGCCAGACTGTGAAAAAAGTAGGCTTATTCCACATCGTAAATGCTCATCAAATTTTGAAACATATACATTTTATTTTCTAAAAAGGTATTTCTTGTAGATGTATTAAATGTATGTTTGGTTTTCCTTTTAAGATTTCTAGGCAGTGTTATTTGTAAATATCAAGGATGTGTTACGTTAGTATTATTTATAAGTTATTTATAATGGAGGCACTTAACATTTACATTTACATAGAGGTAGAATACAAAGTGAATTTCAAAAGACAGCTACCTAAAGGATTTGTCTCTGCTCTGTGGTTGGTGTGTTCTTTCACAGTAGCCACTGCCTCTCTTCCAGTCTCTCCCACTGCTGAGTCAGAGTCCTGCTCCATCTCTGTAGTGACTATCCCATTCCTGGAAGCCGGATGGCTCTACTAAGCTACTTAGTTGAACCCAGCTTCCTGCTCCCAATCCCCACAAGTCCAGTGAGATAAATGGCTCTTTTTTCCCTAATGAGCAACAAAGCACATCCTATGTCCCTGTCTGAACTGGTTCCAGCTAGGATTTCATGAATGCATTGCTGCTATGTTAAAATGGACTCTTCCTTATGTTGGTCACCAAGACTTTTTCCTTGAGCTTCACTAAAAAGAAGCTAAGATTTGCATTGAGTCTGCATGTTAGGACATAGTGTCATAAATAAGGTATGACGTTTCCATGACGAGTCTTAAATAAACCCATAACAAATTTTTTACCAAACAGATTCAGGTGAGATGTTTCCTGATTTTCTTCACATTTGAACACATTTGTTGCCAACTCAGTTTGTAAAGCTATCAAAAGTCAACTGAACTTCTTTTTTTCATTTTTTCCTGTTTTGTAAGAGTTTTATTTTTATTTTTATTTTTTTTATTATACTTTTAAGTTTTAAGGCCAGGACTAAACTTCTATTTCTTTGTGTCATAACATAGTGACTGACTTATATTCAGAGCCGAATTAATATATAACTACTTGAAAGTTTATTTGCTTTAAGTGCAAAAGTCAATTTCTTAGTGTGTAAACATTCATGTACGCAGTGGTTATCAGGACCACTGATATAAAGCACTTTGAGAGTTGCTGAACTTTCCCATGTATATCTAACTTGTTATGACAAAATCACTCTATGTTGAAATTCCTGTTCAATTTTCTTTTAGTGTTTTCACTGAAGGTAAATTTGACTTTTTAATAGGAAAAAGCTACAATCCCTTTGCGAAAAACAATATCTAACAGAAACCAAATCGAAACTTGGTTTTATTCCATAATCCAGTTAAAGCATAATAAAAAATGAAGCCAAAACGTGGATTGAGGTTACTGAAAAGATTTCTGTTGGAGAGAAAATGATCTATGGGTTTCATGCAATCAGAAAGATAATTCTGCCTTGTAACTAGTATTTCTCTTTTTTTTTAATCTCTCTCTCTCTCTCTCCCCTACACCACCCCTCTCCCCCCAACAGCCATATGGATGAAAAGATAGAAAAGCTACAGTATATGAGATGAGAAAGTATATGTTATCTTTTTAATTCTCTCTTTTTTAAAAAATCAAGGAACAGGGAAGAAAAATTCTCTTCTTGGAGGTGTTAAAGTTTGTGATGGTAGTTACATTAACAGTTTAGGAGGCAAGTGAATTACCAGTGTTAAATTAAGGTTAGCCTAAAGCTGCCTCCTTTCCTATTTTAAGTTCACCCTAAAGGTTTCTCCATACAGTGAACTGTAACCTAATGAGGTGTAAACAGACTGTAACCTACTTTTCTATCAGTCAGAGCGCTTAGGCCAATCACTGGTGGCCGATTGCTCAAACCTTCTCTGACTAAAGCAGATGCTGAGCTGTAACCAATCCAGCTGTTTCTGTACCTCACTACTGTTTTTTTGTACTTCATTTTCCTTTTTCAGTCCATAAATGTTATCCGACCATGTGGCAGCCCCAGAGTTGCTCTGAATTTATTCTAGTTCTGGGGGGTGCCCGATTTGCAAGTCTTTCTTGGCTCAATTAAATTCTGTTAAATTTGTCTAAAGTTTTTCTTTTAACAACAGTAATAAAAATGTTTTAACACCTAATAAAAAAGTTAATTTGCATTAAAACACACTACCAATGTTCAGGTAAGTGGTATTGAATTCATGTAACTTTAGAAATATAAGATTTATAGAAATCTTTTCATACAAGTTTTTTTTCTATTTTTTTTAAGTATAGAAACTGAATCTGGAGGGGTAGAATTGCCACAGATCACACAGTTATTAGCAGATCATTTAAGTGCATTCATATCTTCCACTTTCCGTAGTAACATTCATCACCCCCGTTACTTTACTAACCAATTATTGAATTACTTTTCTTTTTTTTTTTTTTTTTTACCAGGATAGGTATTTGTGTATTTTTTAAGTTACTTCATTTCAGAAGTTTTAATTAATATCCACATTTGTAATAAAGACAATTCAGTAGAACTGTCTCTCTGAATTAACTATATATTGTGAAAATCTATTGGTTTGGCCCAGGAAAATATCATTACTGTACCATCTGATAGTAGCAATTTCTAAACGCATGCATAATTCTTAAATAGAAATAAATAACCAAGTGACGGTTGAACTCGCAAACAAAACCTACAACCGGACAGCTGGTTATAGGCTGTCCTTGTTCATTGGATTATGAAGATTTAACCTTTTTAAGGGCAAAAATGCTTTTCTTTAAATAATTAGTTGCGAAAAATTTCTTGACTATGTCTCTACATATTTTCTGGATATAGTTAGAATACTGGGTAAAATATAATCTCTCCCTTGTATCAAAGACCTTGCAGTGCATCAGGGTCAACATGAATTCCTGTGGGGACTGTAGCCCAGGCAGAAAGTAAAGCAGAACATGATACGTGTATACAGATCCCAAGACAAAAACTACAAACTTTAAAAGAACAGACTATCCGATAACTGATTTGGATGATACTTGCTTCTTTCTCTTAAAAAGTGAAGTGTAGCAGGAAAAAGAAATCCAAGTAGAATTTCATTGCTTAGTATAGTAGCCGACACATGTTCAGTAAATGTTTACTATATAACTGATGGTGCCAGTTAGAGGTGCTATTTTATATGATGAATGTTTTGATGAAAAAGAAAATTAAAACTTAAACCTGAAGAAAATAAGTATATTGACTCATTGATGTATATATTTTTGATATGTACTTTTAAATGACAGCTTATGCAATTATGTTATGAATTCTTTGAAAGCAACTACCAAGGCTTTTGATCCTCTATAATTTGTACAGGGCTAACTCAGAAGGTACTTGATACATGTTTGCTGGATAAATGGACAGAAGAATGAGTGAGCCTCCTTATTGACCACTTAGAGTTTGATGAATTTAAATGACTGTATCAGAATTTGAATAAAATTAGCAGATATCTCTGAGATTTCATTTTTCTTTGTTTTATTCCATAAATGTTTATAGAAGACCAATATTTGCACACAGTGATGGAGGAGGCATGCTTATCTTTCTCCTGGAAGCTATATTCTAATAAAAATATAGAAATAAAGGCATTAACAAATAACCTACCGTGAGAATTGTTATAAAAGAAACGAGCAGAATTCTATGATTGCATAGGGTGTGAGTTTGTGGAAAATATTTTTTAAATGAGTGGTCAGGGAAGGCTTCTCTGAGGAAGTGACATTTACATTAAGAATCCAGTGACAGGAATAGGAGGGTGCAGCTGTGACGGTCCTGGAGAGGTTGGAGTGCATGAGAAACTAAAATAAGATCTAGTGGCCGAGACTTAACAAGCTTCAAACATAAGGCAGGCAAGGAGAGGCAGATAGCTTCTGCAAGACCTAAGAGATGACACGTTTTGATTTTATTCTAACAGCAATCCGTTTTAATTAGGAGAGTGACAATGATGATGACAATACTAATGATGATAGTAGCTACCATCTTATGGGCCCTAGTTCATCAAATAGGGATTGCAGAATAGGCATCATCTAAATGTTTAACATTAGCCATTTAATCTTCACATCAAATCAGAAGCATGGATAATTGCTCCTTCCATTTACAGAAGAGGAAATGGAATCTTAAGGTACCGCATTAACTTGGCTAAGATTGCAGCTAGTATGTGTACAATCATCAGATTTCTGATTTGCAAATGGTTACTCAAGATACGTTGCTAAAGATGGATTGTTGCTGAGGAGAGGGTCACAGGGAGGGGAGGTCAACTGGGAATTAACGTGGTGGTTCAGGTGAGAGAGAGTGTTGGTATGAATAGGTGGTGGCAGCCAGGGACTCCTAGAAGGAACAGGCATGCATATTTGCTGATGGATTTGAGATGGGTGATGAGGGAGAAGGGGATGGATGGTGCTGCCGCTTTGTGATATAGAGAAAATTAGAGGAGAAGCAGGTTTGAGGAAAATCAAGATTTCGGTTTTGGTAAAGTGTGAGCCTCATGAGATTATGACTTCTGGCAAAAAACATATGTCAAGAGCATAATATTTTTTGTGAAAAAAGGTTCTAAAACTCCTTTGATATTCTCAGTACTCTCCTCTTCACCTGCTCATCAATTCCCTGCAAAAACTATTAAATGAGGCCCTTGACATGAATACAATATTCTTTTGAAAGAATTGGTAATAGACAACTCAAGGTAAAATCCAGCCTGGGCCTATTTTATTTTGTGTGTGTGGCCAGTTTGCTAAGAATGATTATGACATTTTTAAATGGTTGGAAATAATATAAAAAGAAGTGTAATACTTTCTGACACATGAAAATTATATGTAATTCAGGTCTCAGGCTCCATAAATAAAGTTGTATTGAAACACAACCATTTCCATTTGTTTATATATTGCCTGTGACTGCTTCTGTACTACAACAACAGAGCTAAGTAGGTCTGGAGGGCTGAAAATATTCACTACAAAGCTCACTGCAGAAAAAGTTTATGGACCCCCTACTCCAGGGCAATATTCCTCTTAGTAAGAGAAGCTTAATGGCAACTTAGCAATAACATTTTTCTTTAGTTAGGATTTTACCCAAATATAATATAGTTAGAAATGTGCTGAAATCATTTTCTCGCTCTTAAGCATATTTTCTACATTATTAAAAATATTTCAGTGAAAACAAACAAAAAACATTTAGAGGCAAACTTTTAAAGACTTCTAAATAATAAAGTCTTAGTATTGTGTTTTGAAGTAGGCCAGTAATTTAGCTGTAGACAAACTTCATTAGAATATATCTACACATAAACTTATATACAACATAAATTATGTAGAATATATAAATTATAAAATAATAGTTAAAGAACAGGCTTTTAAAAGAATAATATAGCCAATATTTCATGACCAAATGGAAAAATTATTGCCTTTAGGGCAGAAATAATTTGCCATTTCACTTGTCATTGCCTTGAAGATCATCTTTCTACAATTTCCTTTCTCTTAATGGATACAGTGTTACTTGAAACTCCCAGTAGAACATTAATGGCGTGTAAGTGTCCTAGTGTTAGCTCTGAGTGGTTGTGAATTTGTTTCAGTTGTTCATAAGTGGATTTGGTAATGCTGATTTAAAGATGAACTCAGCTGTCTAAATATGCAGATGTATGATGCTGGAGGATTTTACGGTAAAGCATTTTACCATAATACTTCTGTGATGTGATAAATGTGATAGAGAAAAAGTATTTATGCTATACAGAATTGTTTGCAGAATAGGTCTTGTCAGTGCTTTTAAATTATGACAGGATCTAAAATATCATAGTTTATATGTTTCATAGCCCATGGTTAAGCTACCAACAGAAGATTCAGAAGCAGTTTTGAAAGGGATTGTTTTCCTTTTTGTCTTGAGTTCCTTTCATTTGTAACATAAGAAAGGAAGACTCACATTCAAAGTGATTCAAGAATATTCTCAGATTAAAAGCAAAGCTATAACAAGATCATAACTATGGTCACAAGACAGTGTGCTTAGGGTTAAAAAGACAAATTCTGGAGACAGATTGCTTCAAATCTTGACTCCACTGCTGCCTCACAGTGTAGCCTTCAACTCCACAGCTATCTGTGAAGTCATCTAATCTCTCTGAGCCTCAGATTCCTCACCTGGAAAATAGGATAATAGAGGTTGAGATGGAAGGGCGACCAAGAAGGACTACTAGATGCTGCCAGGAGGAATATCTCCCACTGAGAGACTTGAACATTGGGAAGACAGTCACACTCCAGGCAGATCTTCAGAGGGAAGGCATTGAGAGTGGAGAAGGGAGGATGCAGACACTGGGCTGAAGGGGGAGTAAGCTGGGAACCCTGCATGGGGCTGATGAGCAATGGGGCTCACTCCCGGCCCCCAGAGATCCCTGGGGAAGAGGTGAGTTGAACAGGTAAGGAGTGGTCTGCTCTTGCCATAGACCCCTGGAATCTCAGCTGCAGGAGATCCCACAACTCCCACAGACACTTAAGCTAGCAGGGATTGCTGCTTAGAGAGGTGGCAGGGGCAGTACTTCAGCCTATGTGGAGCTTCAAGGTTTGGTGCAGGAATGGCTGCTGTGGAGCACAGCCAGGGACGCTTATCACCCAAGGCTCACCATGTACTTCTAGGTGGCATTAGCCTTTGGTTGACTGTCAGAACTGAAGAAAGCAGGGTGGTCTTACTTGTGGGATGGGGCCAGTCTGATCTGAGTACCTGACTGTCTGCTGGCCTGTACTGGAGCTCCAGCCTGGCCATGCCCACTTTTAATGTAGCCTTGGATGCCCAACCAGGGTGCTTCCTGGAGGCCCTCATCATAGCTCCCTCACCAGCAGACTGAACCTGACCATCCGAGAGCCCTAGCAGACTAGCCTGCATACAGCCTCTCCACACAGCATCCTCCCGCTCCTGCTCTGCTAGCAGGCACTCACCTACAGCCTTCCCACTGTTTTTCCAGGGCATGCAAGTGCAAGTAGACCTCGCCTCCCCTCCCCTGCTGGCACACATGTGTGCATGCAACATGAGCACATTCCACAGCCCTGCTCCCAATGATGTGCAGTCTGCCACACTGCCACTACTGGGGTAAGTGTGCATGAATGCCATTGCAATGCCCCTGTTGGCATGAAGGCATCCCACCATGCCACCATCTGTGCAAATGCACACATGGACACTGCCAACCGACTTTTACCACCATTGTGCCCAAGCTGATGTGCAGACACCACACTGTGCCACTGCACTGTGGCTGCTGGCATGCAAAAGCCAGCACATGTAACTCTGCCACTGTTCTGATGAAGCACTTTGGTTGGCAACCCCCATCAGTGTTGTGGCCAGCAAAATGGAAACTCCTCAGCCTCTCCAGTGCAGCAGGTTCCTAACCTCCAGGGGAGACAGGATAGAACTGGGGCCCAGTACCAGCCCTCTAGCATTAAATCACACAGTCCAGGAGTGTTTGGGCTGAGCCCTGGCCCCTGAAATCTTCCAAAAATGAAGCCAGTCAACTGAAACCATCTTATACCACGATTAAATGCCAGGGTTTGAGGGCATCAAAGAATATAAAAGCAAAACACCCCATCTAAAGGACAGCAACTTCAAAGATTAAGGAACATCACCTTCCACAGTTGAGAAAGAACCAGTGCAAGTACTCTGGCAACTCAAAAAGCCAGAATGTCTTCTTACCTCCAAACAACTGCACTAGTTCCCAAGCAATGGTTCTTAACCAGGCTAAAATGGCTGAAATGACAGACATAGAATTCAGAATATAGAGAGGAGTGAAGATCATGGAGATTCAAGAGAAAGACAAAACCCAATCCAAGGAATCTAAGGAATACAATAAAACAATATAGGAGCTGAAAGAGGAAATGGCCATTTAGAGAAAGAAACAAACTGATCTGATGGAGCTGAAGGACACACTACAGGAATTTCATAATGCGATAACAAATATTAACAGCAGAATAGACCAAGCTGAGACAAAAAAATATCTCAGAGCTGGAAGACTGGTTCTCTGAATTAACTGTCAAACAAAAATAAAGAAAAAAAGAATTAAAAAGAATGAACAAATATGGGATAATGTAAAGAGATCAAATCTATGACTCATTGGAATCCCTGAAAGAGAGGGAGAGAAAGCAAGCAACTTGCAAGGCATATTAGAGGAAATCATTCATGGCAATTTCTCCAACCTCAACAGAGAGGTCAACATTCAAATTCAGGAAATGGAGAGAATCCCTGAAAGATACTATACAAGATGACCATCCCCAATGCACATAGTCATCAGACACTCCAAGGTTGACATGAAAGAAAAAAAAAATTTTAAGCAGCTAGAGAGAAGGAACAGATCACCTACAAAAGGAATCCCATCAGGCTAAAGGCAGAACTTTCAGCAGAAATCCCACAGTTCAGAAGACACTGGTTACCTATAGTAAACATTCTTAAAGAAAAGAAATTCCAACAAAGATTTTTCATATCTAGCCAAACAAACCTTCATAAAAGAAGGAGAAATAAAATCCTTTTCAGACTAGCAGATGCTAAAGAAATTTGTTACTAGCAGACCTGCCTTACAAGAGGTTCTTAAGGAAATGCTAAAATTAAAAAAAGACCATTACCAGCCACCAAAAAAACACACTTTTAAAGTACATAGACCATTGACATTATTACTGGGGGAACTCACCCCCAATAATTCAACGTGGGTTCTTTTCTGTTTCCCTAAGTGTTGGCTGGTCTGAGAAATAAAGGGAAAGAGTAAAAGAGAGAAAGTTTTAAAACTGGGTGTCCAGGGGACACATCACATATCGGCAGGTTCTGTGATGCCCCCTGAGCCATAAAACCAGCAAGTTTTTATTAGCAATTTTCAAAGGGGAGGGAGTGTACGAATAGGGTGTGGGTCACAGAGGTCATATGCTTCAAGGGAGACAAAAGATCACAAGGCAGAAGGTCAGGGAGAAACTAGAATCACTAATGAACTTCCACGTCCTGCTGTGCACGCATTGTCAGGGTTCAAGAGCAGAGAACTAGTCTGACTAGAATTCACCAGGCTGGAATTTCCTAATCCTAGCAAACCTGGGGGCGCTGCAGGAGATTAGGGCGTGTTTCATCCCTATCTACATCTGCATAAGGCAGACACTCCCAGGGCAGCCATTTTAGAAGCCCTGCCCTGGGAATGCATTCTTTTCCCAGGGCTGTTAATTATTAATATTCCTTATTTGGGAGAGAATTCAGTGATATTTCTCTTACCCGTTTTCGGTAATAAGAGAAATATGGCTCTGTCCTGCCCAGCCAACGGGCAGCCAGACTTTATCTCCCTTGTTCCCTGAAAACCACTGTTATCCTGTTCTTAAGGTGCCCAGATTTCCTATTGTTCAAACACACATGCTCTATAAAAAATTTGTGCAGTTTATCACAATTTGCGTGCACAATTTGTGCATGCAATCATCACAGGGTCCCAAGGCAACATACATCCTCAGTTTACAAAGATGATGGGATTAAGAGATTAAAGTAAAGACCGGCATAGGAAATCACAAGAGTATTGATTGGGGAAGTGATAAATGTCCATGAAATCTTCACAATTTATGTTCAGACACTGCAGTAAAGACAGGCGTAAGAAATTATAAAAGTATTAATTTGGGGTACTAATAAATGTCCATGAAATCTTCACAATTTATGGTCTTCTGCCATGGCTTCAGCCAGTCCCTCCATTCGGGGTCCCTGACTTCCCACAACGCATTATAAAGCAACTACAAAATCAAGTCTGCATAACAACCAGCTAACAGTTGGGTGCAGTGGCTCACACCTGTAATCCTAGCACTTTGGGAGGCCGAGGTGGGCAGATCATCTGAGGTCAGGAGTTTGAGACCAGCCTGGCCAACATGGTCTCTACTAAAAATAAAAAATTAGCTAGGCAAGTGGCACATGCCTGTAATCTCAGCTACCCAGGAGGCTGAGGCAGAATTGCTGGAACCTGGGAGGTGGAGGCTGCAGTAAGCCGAGATTATGCCACTGCACTCCAGCCTGGGCAACAGAGCAAGAGTCCATCTCAAAAACAAAAAATAATAATAATAATAATAATAATAATAATAATAACCAGCGAACAACATGGTGACAGGATCAAATCCACACATATTAATATTAACCTTGAATGTAAACAGGCTAAATGCCACAATGAAGAGGCACCAAGCGACAGGTTGCACACAGAAGCAAGACCCAACTGTATGCTGTCTTCAAGTGACCCATCTCACATGCAATGACTCTCATTGGCTCAAAGTAAAGGGATGGAGAAAAATCTACCAAGTAAATGAAAAACAAAACAAAACAAAAGCATGGGTTGCTATTCTAACTTCAGACAAAACAGACTTTAATCCGACAATGATAAATAAAGGCAAAGAAGGGCATTATATAATGGTAAAATGTTCAATTCAATAAGAAGACTTAACTCTCCTAAATATACATGCATCCAATGCATGAGCAGCTAGATTCATAAAACAAGTTCTTAGAGACCTACAAAGAAACAGGTAACCACACAATAATAGTGGGAGACTTCTACACACCACTTGTTAGATAGATCATTGAGGCAGAAAACTAACAAAGATATTCGGGACCTGAACTCAACCCTTGACGAAATAAACCTAACAGACATCTACCTATAGAACACTTCACCCCAAAACATCAGAATCTACATTAGTCTCATCTGCATATGGCACATACTCTAAAATTGACTACATAGTTGACCATAAAATAATTCTCAACAAATTTTAAAAAAATGAAATTATATCCACCACACTCTCAGACCATAATGCAATAAAAATAGAAATCAATACTAAGAAGATCACTTAAAACCATACAATTACATGGAAATTAAACAACATGCTCCTGATTTACTTTGGGTTAAACAATGAAATTAAGGCAGAAATCAAGGAATTATTTGAAACTAATGAGAACAAAGATACAGTATACCAGAATCACAGAGACACAGCTAAAGCAGGGTTAAAAGGAGAGTTTACAGCACTAAATGGCCACATTAAAAAGTTAGAAGGTCACAAATTAACAACCTAACATCACATCTAGAGGAACTAGATAAACAAGAGCAAAGCAACCCCAAAGCTAGCAGAAGACAAGGAATAACCAAAATCAGAGCTGAACTGAAGAAAACTGAGATGTGAAAAACCATATAAAGATCAATAAAACCAGAAGTTAGTTCTTTGAAAGAATAAATAAGAATGATAGACCACTAGCTAGAGAAAAGAGAGAGAAGATCCAAATAAACACAATCAGAAATGATAAAGGGGACAATGCCACTGACTCCACAAAAATACAAAAACCTCAGAGACTATTATAACACCTCTATGCAAACAAACTAGAAAAGCTACAAGAAATGGATAAACTCTTGGAAACTTACCACTTCTCAAGATTGAATGAGGAAGATACCGAAACCCTAAACAGGTCATAATATATTCCAAAATTAAATCAGTAATAAAAAGCCCATTAACCAAAAAAAAAAGCCCAGGTGGATTGACAGTCAAATTCTATAAGATATATAAAGAAGAAGTGGTACCATTCCTGTGGAAACTATTCCAAAGAATTGAGGAGGAGGGACTGTTCCCTAACTCATTCTATGGGGCTAGCATCATTCTGATACCAAAATCTAGCAGAGACACAACCAAAAAAGAAATCACCAGGCCAATATCCTTGATGAACATAGATGTAAAAATTTTCAACAAAATACCAGCAGCACATCAAAAAGCTAATCCACCATGATCAAGTAGGCTTTATCACGGGGATGCAAGGATAGTTCAGTATATACAAATCAATAAATGTGATTCATCACATAAGTGGAATTAAAAACGAAAACCATAAGACCTTATCAGTAGATGCCAAAAAGGATTTTTGATAAAATTCAATATCCCTTCATGTTAAAAACCCTTGACAAACCAGGCATTGAAGGAACATACTTCAAAATAATAAAAGCCACCTATGACAGCATCTTAAAGAATAAGCCAAACCTGGAAGCATTCCCCTTGAGAACTGGAACAAGACAAAGATGCTAATTCTCACCACTCCTATTCAACATAGTACTGGAATTCATAGCCAGAGCAGTCAGGCAAGAAAAAAAAAATGAAAGGCATCCAAATAGGAAGAGAGGAAGTCAAACTATCTCTGTTTGCAGACAATATGATTTTACGTCTATAAAACTTCATAGTCTCTACCTGAAAGCTCCTAGATCTGAAAAACAACTTCAGCAAAGTTTCAGGACACAAAATCAATGCACATATATCAGTTGCATTTCTATAACAACAACATTCAAGCTGAGTGCCAAATCAAGAATGCAATCCCATTCACAGTAGCCACCCACACAAAAAATAAAATACCTAGGAATACATCTAGTCAGGGAGGTGAAAGATCTCTACAAAGTGAATTACACAACACTGCCGAAAGAAATCACAGATGACATAAAGAAATGAAAAAATATTACATGCTCATAAATAGGCAGAATTAATATTATTAAAATGGCCATACTGCCTAAAGCAATTTGCAGATTCGGTATTATTACTATCAAACTACCAATGATATTCTTCACAGCATTAGGAAAAAAACTATTCTAAAATTCATGTGGAGCCAAAAAAAGCCCAGTAGCTACATCAATCCTAAGCAAAAAGAACAAACTTAGAAGCATTACAGTACTTGACTTCAAACTATACTACAGGATCCAGTAACCAAAACAGCATGGTGCTAGTACAAAAACAGACAAATAAACAAATAGAATGGAATAAAAGCCCAGAAATAAAGCTGCACACCTATAAACATTTGATCTTCGACAACGTGAATGTAAACAATCAATGGAGAAAGGACTCTATATTTAATAAATAGTGCTGGAATAACTGGCTAGCTATATGCAGATGATTGAAACTGTACCCCTTCCTTATACTATATACAAAAATCAACTCAAGATGGATTAAATACTTAAATGCAAAGCATGGAAGTATGAAAACCTTTGAAGATAACCTAGGAAATACCATTCTGGACATAGGCACTGGCAAAGATTTCATAACGAAGGCACCAAAAGTAATTGCAACAAAAACAAAAGCTGGCAAATGGGACGTAATTCAACTAAAGAGTTTCTGCAAAGCAAAAGAAACTATCAATAGAGTAAACAGATAACCTACAGAATGGAAGAAAATATTTGCAAACTATACATCTAACAAAGAGCTAATATCTAGAATCTATAAGGAATTTAAACAAATTAACAAGTAAAATACAACCTCATTAAACAGTGGGCAAAGGACATGACCAGATACTTTTCAAAAGAGACATGCATGCAGCCAACAAGCATAAGAAAAAAATGCTCAACATCATTAATTATTAGAGAAATGCAAATCTAAATCACAATGAGATATCATTTCACACGAGTCAGAATGGCTATTACTAAAAAGTCAAAAAATAACATGCTGGTGAGGTTGTGGTGAAAAGGGAACACTTACACGCTGCTAGTGGGAATGTTAATTAGTTAAGCCATTGCTGAAAGCAGTCTGATAATTTCTCAAAGAACTTAAAGCAGAACTACTGTTCAACCCAGAAATCCATTATTGAGTATATACCCAAAGGAATATAAATTGTTCTACCATAAAGACATATGCACACATATGATCACAGCAGCACCATTCACAATAGCAAAGACATGGAACCAACCTAAATGCCTGTCAATGGTAAACTGGATAAAGAAAATGTGGTATGTATACACTATGGAATATTATGCAGCCATAAAAAGAATGAGATCATGTCCTTTGCAACAGCAAAGATAGAGCTGGAGGCCATTATCCTAAGCGAACTAAGGCAGGAACAGAAAACCAAATACTGCCTGTTATCATTTATAAGTAGCAGCTAAACACCAAGTATACATGAACACCAAGAAGGGAACAATAGACACCAGGGCCTGTTTGATAGTGGAGGGTGGGACGAGGGTGAGGATTGCAAAACTGTCTGTTAGATACTATGGTTATTACTTGGGTGATGAAATAATTTGTACATCAAACGCCCACAATCCAATTTACCTACATAACAAACTTGCACATGTACTCCCGCAACTAAAAGTTAAAAACAAACAAAATATAACAAAAACAAGAAAATGAGGATAATAATAATGAGGAGACCCTAACTCAAGGGATTAAATGAAAGAATAGAAATAAAATGCTTAGCTCAGTGCCTGGCACAAACCAAGTGTTCAATTCCAACAAATTGTCCTGAAAAGGTATATTCATTAGTCCACATTACTCTTTCATGATCTTATAAATTTTACAAAGCTTTTAGGGATGTGTAGGAGAAAGAGTTGGTAACTGCTCCACTGGTTGTCCTAGCACAAATACTTTGCTGCTTCCCAAGGTCTGCATCCTTAAAAAGGACCTGCGGAATCTCCCTTATGCATGTGAGGTACGTTTATTTGGAGGGAGAAATATCTGCACTGGGGTCACGGAGTAAATCCAGGGAGGGGGCTTTGGGTTGGGAAATTCGAGAAGTTCCCAGTATTTCATAACCTCTTCCTGTAGGGCTCCGGCAAAGCTGAACCTCTTATTTATGGAAGCGTTAGGTCTCAGCATGAAGATCTCTGCAGATAATAGTTATGAGAAGATAGTGAATACATTCTTTGGGAATTTTCCCTAAAATATAAACAAACACAGTTATTCCATGGGTAATGCTGAGAGTGGTCAGTGGCCTTTTGGAATTTTCTAACCCAGGGCAGCCAATTTAGGAGGTCTGGTTAGAATACATAGCAAGTATGATCTTTGAGTGAAGATGTGTTTGATTCAGGGGGATGTGGAGTTCAGCAATTTCTACTGGTTTTCTTTTTCTCTCCAAGAGAACAAGGAGAATCTTCACTCATCTATGAGTGGAGGATAATACGATAGGGAGGATAATACATTAAGTACCTAGTAGTCTTTAAAAGAAATGCCTAGGTCAAAATGTCAGGGTTAGAAGGTGAGGAAAGATACCTGAAAACTTTAAAGAATATGCTCTCTACATTGAGCCTAGGAAGAAAAACCTTACATTGAAACAGAATCGGGAAAAAAAAAGAAAGAGCAAGGATGGTTGGAATCCAATCTCATCCTTCATCAAATGTCATCTTGGGTGTGTTCAAAGTAGCATTCTCTGCAGTCTGAAAGGCAAAAGTGGCCATGATACGCAGTGCTAACATAGCCAGTTAACTTCTCTGTGGCAGTCTGAAAAATGGTTCCCCAAAGATGGTCCTAATTCCTGGAACCTGTAAATAGACCCTAAATACTATCTCAAGTATGCTTAAGAAAAGGAAACAGAGTGAGCTTACACACACATGCACACACACACACACACACACTCACACCCCAAAAGGAAAGGTAAAGACAGAGATAAAGATTGGAGTGACGCAACCACAAACCACGGAATGCCAGTAGCCACCAGAATCTGAAGAGGAGAGAACTTGATTCTCCTCCAGAACCTACAGAAGAAGTGTGCTTCTGATATCTTGATTGGGCCCTGTGACAGGAATGTAGGAATTCTGGGCTCCAGACGTGTGAGAGAATAAATTTCTGTTATTTTAAACCACCCATTTTGTGGCAATTTGTCACATTAATCACAGAAAACTAATATAATGTCATTACTACTTTTATTATCATTCTAATTATTATAGTTTTTCCTGATTCTATTTGCTCATTGTTTCTTCCTTCCTGAAGTCATTCTCGGCCATTACAAAATTACTATTTTTCCTTTCTCTTGAGTTAGATTACACTGCGTATGCCATTGTAAACACAATTTCTTTGGCTCAATTACAGGATGCTAAGTCATAAAAACTATGTCTATCAGTCACCAATGAAGTTCTCAAACAAATTATTTCTTTCCACAGAACAAATATTTATCAAACTGCATGCCAATTAAGTCAAGTAATTATACCCTTAAGAGATGCAATTTTCAAATTTAGTTTCTCGAAACCATATACTACAGATGTTCAACTTTTAATGAGTATCTATGTGGAAAACGATGAAGAAGCTCAGTCACACAAATACATTAGGCAAAATATAATAAACTATTTGAACATTTATAACATTGTGTTTGTATTTTTCTGTCAGCATTATGTGAATAGAATCATACTCAAAGATGAACTGCCATGAGTAATGAAATAATGCTACTTTGTGTCCTCCCAGTGGGTAAAAGGGAGCTCTGAGACATTCCTCTGTGCACCATATTGTAAATCAACTGCTTCACTGCTCTAAATGGTACCCTAGTGACCAGAAAAGGCATATTAAACATCCCAGAGTACCTGTCACTAGCAGGAAGAAGTTTTGTACTTGTACTATATTTCATCCATGAATATAGTAATATTCAAAAGCCATATTTCTTAAGTCTCCATAAAGTCTGGTATTAAGATGACTAAGTCCACATCTCTAGAATAACTAAGAGTTTCCTCTTCTACAGAATGAAGGAGCTGGACTTGGAGATCTCTCTCACCTCTGAAGTTGTGTAAGTGAAGTATACTGACCCAGTGTGACCACGCTGCTATTCGAAGACTTACTCAAAGTTTTCAAACAGACTAACCATGTGGGACTGTGATTTAGCAAGGAAAACAGCCAGAATAAACATGTCAGTGTCTCCGTTTTATGGTGGCTTCATGTGCAGCATTGTGACCTATACCTCGGAGTTTTTCTTATACCAGATGAAGCTTGTTCTATAGTCTTCACAAGGACATAACACTTGTCATAAGTAAATGTTTCTATTCTCTTGATATCATTCCGATTATATCAAAACGTGCTTTGAAACAACAAGCAGTAGAATCACTTGGTATAATCTTGTCCTCAGTTGACATGTTTACTTATTTTTATCCAGCCTATGTTTGAAGTCCAACATGAGCTCATTTCTCATGCTGGGGTGGAATGTATGAAGGGATCCAATTCTTTTGCATCTTTAGAGATTATCTCATGAAGCAAGGTTCAATTTAGAACTCTGAGATCTAACACTGATTACTTAACTTTACGAGGAAATACACAAAAAAATCTGAATGTCCAGACAAAAGCTGGAAAAAAAAACTTATCTGTATCTGCTTCATCCTTTATAAAATGGAAACCTACAAGTGTTTTCCTAATAAAATTGTAGTGAACCTGCACAAAGTGAGCATCTCCATCACATTTGCTATTACTATTGTGGCTACTATTATTATTATTGCCTAAAGTATTGTCTAAGATGAACACAGATTTAGAGATACTGCTACACTAAATAGCACTTTCTACTATTTAGTTAATGTCTATATCATAATTAGTATACAATCATAGTAGATTTATTCAGCATGACACTATCATAATAACTTATTTCAAAGAGGTTTTGAAATATGGATTTTATAATATAAAATATTTTGAGAATCCTTCACCCAGGGAAGTTTTATTTATATAATTATTATCTACTTCTAATAGATCCTATCTGCCCACAAATCCCCAATAATACCAGCTCTACTTCTGCTGCAGTATAATGCTGCATTAGCAAGTTCACCTCTAATTTACTAGCTAACACACACCCTGGAGTCTCCTTAGATAATTCCCAAACCTCCTGCTTTCATCTAACCAAAATGAGTATCTTTCGTTGTTGGTAAATATATGAGTTTCAGACGACTACGGTGCAAGCTGGTGAGCCTTGCTTTTCTAATTTATGTTTTAATTAATTTCCTTTCCAACTTGCTCCATTTTGTGCATTCTTTTCCTCTCATGTGTTTGCAATACTTCCCAGGGAATAACACCTACATTTTGAATTATAGATTTCTTGAATGCATCTTTTAGGTAATTAAGGTGTTAACAAAGACAAGACTCAAGTATGATCCTTAAAGAATTTCTTGGCCTGGCGCGGTGGCTCACGCCTGTAATCCCAGGACTTTGGGAGGCTGAGGAGGGCGGATCATGAGGTCAGGAGATCGAGACCATCCTGGCTAACATGGTGAAACCCCGTCTCTACTAAAAAATACCAAAAAAAATTAGCCAGGCGTGGTGGCGGGTGCCTGTAGTCCCAGCTACTCGGGGGGCTGAGGTGGGAGAATGGCATGAACCCAGGAGGCGGAGCTTGCAGTGAGCCGAGATCGTGCCACTGCACTCCAACCTGGGCAACAGAGCGAGACTCCATCTCAGGAAAAAAAAACAAAAAACAAAAAACATTTTTTTGCATGTTTAATCAACCATTACACACATCACTAATTGGGATCAATTTCCATTTTTTCAGTTCTCATTTGAACCATGAAAATCATAGGGTTAGACTTTTTCCTGACTATATCCAATTCATATATTTTAACACAAAATGTTCTTGGCAAATATCTGACTATAAGTTTTTGATTTAAATGATTCCATTAGGATAATTAATCCATAAATATAATTAATTCAAAATTGATAAAAATATTTAATTAAAATTAAAAACTGATTGTCATTCGGACACTCTAAAATTTGAAGTCAGTAAGAATGGGCTTAAAAATGTGAGGTATTACTTATAAGTGATCACTAAAGTAAATAAAAATTAACAAATTTAAAAGCCTTAGCTTAATTTTGAAGAGTTGTAAATAAGAATGGCAGGTTTTTAAAAACACGCTTGTGTTTTGCAATCTTCCAGTAATATAATGAACCCAGCACACATTGATAAACTCTATCTGTATTTATAGGTTGAAAAGAAGATCAAGAAGTTTAGACAGAGACTTGGATCATCAACCAATTCTAATTCTGCTACTTAGAGAAAAATCCAACTAACAAAATTATTAGGACCAACATCACTAAGAATGCTGGTTGATATCTTATGCATGCTCTTTGATTATAGATATAGTTTTGGTTAATAAATATATAAAATGGGTAGCTATGCTCAAAAGCAACACCTTCATTTTGGTGCTAGTTGTCTTCTAAACAAACTAATATTATTCGAGCTAAAGAGAAAAAAAAAAACAAAAACAGGAAACATGAAAAGCAGTGGCATTAAACCAGCTCACTTTGAGTTTTCTGGACATTCCATTTTGCATACATCTCTCTTTCCATTTTCATTTATATAGGAGTTATGCCAAAAACACTAGTTTACCAAATGATGTGATCTATTTCTTTCTCATCACAAAACCATCTAAACATTCATTTCAGTAAAATATCTCTCAGGCATTTAACTTAAGTGTTAAACTGGTACTTTCTCAGAGTTCAATTTGAGGTGGATAAGACCATAGTAATTCAATACAGCAAGTGTCACTGTAAGGGAAGCCCTCAGGTGGTCTCCCTAATTATTTCATACTAATTAGCTCAGATAGTAAAAGGTTCTGTTTTATTACCTTGATGCAAGTGGCTGATGCTTTGGGACAGTTAATTGTGCTACATTTCATTTTTTAAATGAAAATGTCATTACCTGGATATAGCTTTTTATTGTGCTTTAATATTGTCAATAGGTAAAACATTACAGGAAAAAAGATTATTTTTCAAATTTCTTAGCATTGATAGCTAAATTGAAATTTACTTTCTATTTTTTAAATATTGAACTTCATTGATCAAACACTGTTCTGGTATTTAGCTTCACATTGTTAAAACCAGAGACAAAGGCCACATAAACGGAAACTTTAGCGAGAAAACATTAGCTGTGTTTTACCTTACATGGTGAATATGTATTTAATTTTCTCTTCACTACTTAAATAACTCAAATACTAATTCCAGGGTGCTTTTTAAGTTCTTACTAATCCTAAGTATTTAGTTCTGTGATCATTTTTATCTTTGAATAACAGTCATCATTCTCCCTTCCTGCATTGTCATAACCGTCATGTTTCCATGGAAACTGTGGAGAAAGAATAAAATGGTAAAACACCTCCATTTAGGTCTAAGTTGACAGGGTTGTTTTTTATTAGGAGCTTCAATTATTTAGACAGATAAGAATATGTGCAGTGGCCTAATAAATGATATAGAATAATAGTCGATCTTCAAAAACAGGAAATTATGTTTCCAGCTAATAGAACTTAGCAATTTCTGTTAAGAACTAGTTATTGGTGGTGAGTCTTGGGGGTGTTTTGTTTTCTTCTTTATTTTTTATTGTACTGTTTGAATTTTCTGTTATCATGTAAAATAAAACAACAAAATAAAAAATCTTTAAAAAGAACTAGTTATTTATTACATTCTTAATACATACATTTTGATCTTTACCAAATATAAGAGACAAAATAGCTACCTTTTAGATAGACATTTAAAATAGAAAAATAATTATTCAATGCACATAAAGGGATTTAGAGAAATCTTATAAAATCTACTTGGAGTTTCGTCCAAATTATTGTTTACTTCCCACATTCTGCTCCTCTAAAAATCATACATTTTAAAAAAGCAACCAATTTTAACTTAAATACAAGTTAATTGTATTTGAATCTCTGAAGGGATCCAGAGGAAACTGGTTATAGTACTTGCTTCTAAAAAGGAAGATTTGCCTTTTGCTTTCTTTGTATATGTTTTAAGTTATTTGTTGATGTTGTTTGTTAAACAAGGTAGTTATTACTTACTTGAAATGTAGGCTGTCCTTTGAAATAAAGATCCTAGTTAATAAAAATCCACAGTGTTAAATGACATTTGGAATAGTTTTTTTTTTGTTTTTTTTTTTTGTTTTTTTTTTTTTTGAGACAGAGTCTCACTCTTTTTGTTCAGGCTGGAGTGCACTAGTGCAATCTCAGCTCACTGCAACCTCCACCTCCTGGGTTCAAGCGATTCTCCTGCCTCAGCCTCCCAAGTAGCTAGTATTACAGGCACCTGCCACCATGCGTGGCTAATTTTTTTGTATTTTTAGTAGAGATGGAGTTTCACCATGTTTGGCCAGGCTGGTCTCAAACTCCTGACCTCAGGTGATCCACCCGTCTCTGCTTCCCAAAGTGCTGGGATTACAGGCATGAACCACTGCGCCCGGCCCGACATTTAGAATAGTTCTAAGATGTTTGAGTCAAATGGTTAAGTAAAATGTATAGGTTTTCAGAGAGAAAAAAGCTTCCTGTTGCTTTTCCCACAATGGACAATTTCTAAGGTGCCATATTTTTCCTTTAATATTTCCTCTATGAAGATTGAGATTTGGGCAAATGGCTGAGAAAACTAGAGCCTTTGTTGCTCTAGGAGAACTCAGTAGCAGTCACTCTTAACTACTGCACTTCCTGCCAACTAAAAATATTATAGGCCAAAGGGAAGAGACCCCAGCAATGAAATTAAGGTCTTAACAAAGACGAAAATTAATAGAAGTAGAGTGACATGGATATTGTAAAGCCTTTTGCCTCAACTGTCTTACATGGAAATTGCTTGGGTGAAAAAAAAATCTACAGCTTACTATGTTTTTTAAAACTCACAAATGAGGTTTCTATCTCCTTAAATTCTAATATAAGAAAGGAATTTCTAATGCAAACTAAGTTATACATCCAAACAAATATATATTTTTTTTCTTTTTATATAAATACTTAATATCTTAGAAAGTTACCAATTCTGTGGAGGCTGTGATATTTATTGATATCTGGAAAAAGATTAATTCAATTAGTTGCATAAGCAAAGTTCTTATCCTTGACTTCCTCCTAAAATAATAAAAAGTCCCTTTGACTTTATGAACATAGGTGGAAATTGAGAATATCAATCTAAAACGCTTGATGAAAAATTCTTTCTTGAAGAATCATACATGTAGTTTGTAACTTAATATGCTACTCCCTTAGAATAAAATGGGAATACTGCAAGATTAGGTAGAGCATACTGTGAGTTAAATAATATATTTATTTTAAAAAATTATTATCTGAACTTCTTCCTCCTAAAAATGTCTAGAAACAAAGAAAGCCAATAGCAGTGACCATACTTACTTAGTACCATTTCTGGCTAAAAGAAATAAGGGTTACTTGAGAAATGGCTGATCTTAGGTCCAGGGGAGGAAATGTACATGAAAAACCTTGGGCATCTTACTGTCTAGAAAACAAGGGAGTTACTGGCAACTAACAGGCTGTATCAAGAAGAAACAAGGAACCAACCTAAAGAGGCTCCCAGAAAGAAATTGACTCAACATATTGAATATATAAAAATCCACAAATTCATAATACCAAAAAATGTGGAAAAAATTTAAATGTGCAAAATTTTAAAAATCTGATTTGTCACCAAAAGCACCAATTGGTGCTCCAATTACTTACTCTGAAAATTGATAATTAATAGGAAAGAATAAACAGCATTTATCATGCTTGTCTTGAATGAATGAGGATAAACAGTATATCAGATTCCTAACTGATATGGGAAAAGCTTTTCAGAGAAGAATTCCAATTAATAGATGGAATAAATACAAAGAAAAAAATAAATTGGATAATAATTCTATTAAAAACCTAATGAGATAGCTGATTCAGGCAATCATCATCATTGTGTACTAAAACATTTAACAAAATATTGATTGAAAACTTTGTAGGAAAAGGATTACATTGTTATCTCTTAATTCACTGATCCAACTTCATGTAGCTGCAAGTGAAATGACCAAGCACTATTGGCCTTTTATTATAATCTAATATTGAAGTTTAATAAACCTCCTACGAAATCTTCTTGCCCAAAAAGTAGAAAACAAGTCTAATCAATCATGTAGGTTTAATGAACCTTTACAAAGGCTATCAAGAGGAACGTAGATGATTAAAAAGCAATAGGATAATCTGGAAGAGTGGATTTACACCAGGACAAATGATTCAGTTTCTTTAACAACCCAGGCCATGTTCAGTGGCTCATGCCTGTAATCCCAGCACTTTGGGAGGCCAAGGCGGGTGGATTGCTTGAGACCAGAAGTTTGAAAACAGCCTAGGCAACATGGCAAAACCCCATCTCTGTAAGAAAAAAAAAAAAAAAATAGCTGGAGCATGGCTCCTGCCACTCCTGCTGTGTTCCTGCCCTCCCAGCTACTCGGCAGGTGGGAGAATGATACCTTGAGCCCAGTAGGTCTAGGCTGCAGTGAGCATGATCAGGACACTGCACTCCAGCCTTGGCGACAGAGCGAGACTGTCTCAACAAAACAAAATGCCTAATAGGACTATCGTAGGGTAGGGAGACTCCTCTAGATTAAAGGAGGCCTAAAGAGACATAACCAACATACAGTGTATGCAGATTCTTTTGATCCTGAATCAAACAAATCAACTTTAAAAGCGAGGTGTTTGAGAAAATTGAGGAAAATTGAAAAATGACTACTCATTTTGTTAAGTGTGATAATAATATTGTGATTATGTAGGAAAGTGTCAGTAGTTTTAGAAGATACATATAGAAGGATGTATTTGGGAGGAAATAATATGATCTTTCACTGGTTTGTTTTAAAATATATCAGTAAATTTTTTTTTAAAGAACTCGACAAAGCAGTTGTGGCAAAAGGTTGGTAAATGTTGAATCTTAAGGGAAGGGGTCCATTGCACCACTTTCTCTGCTTGACAATTTTCATAATAACAAGGTTTACAAAAGTATCTTATGCAAACATACATGTGAAACAGTTAAGTATCTAAAAGTGCACAAATGGGCTTTGGCAATAGACATCTGGTAGTCAGAGTTAATCTCCACTGTACCATTTACAAGTTGTGTGACATAGACTTAAACCTCCATAGGCCTCAATTTCTGAATCTGTAAAATCAGGTAAAATAAGAATATTTTTCTAATAGAGTTGTTAGGATTAAATCAGGTAATTCATGCTTGACACGTACTAAGGGCCCAACAAGTGTTACCCATTATTGTCATTATCACCATATTCATATTTATTAAAAATGTAAGTAAAATGGGACTATGTTTTATTTAACAGAATTTTAACCTTTAACAAAATGCTTTTGAATGCATTTGTCTGCCTCATTAATAATAATGTATTCTGTTTTAACAGAATACATTTGAATTTTCCATATTCTTTGGGATTTGTGTCATTTCAATTACTTGAGCATTTTAATTACTGGTATTTATTTTGTAAAAGTTGTAGAGCTCAATTGTCAATTTTGAAAGAATGAAGTACTGAATACACATAAAATTTCATTCTATTGCTTAAAAATTTATGGGCTCCTGATGATTTTCCTCCTCCTCACTGTTACCAGTATCCACTGTCACAAAACTAATTTGGACTATTTGAGCTTTCTGGTTAAGAGTTTTCATAAGCAGGGGCTTATCCTATATTTTATAGCAAATAGATACTATGTCTCCAATAAATACACAGATAAACCTGCATTGATTAGCATCTGTGATGATTATAGGATTATCAATGCTTTCAAATTCTAAAGAGCAGCTTAAGGATATAAATGAGAATACTCATTATTAAAGATGTGGCTCTAAAAAGCTGACAACAGCCCTCAATGGCAGGATAAATCTACTTTTTGCTTTCCTTGCATCTGTAAACAGAATGCAAATATTACAACCTGATCAGTATCATTCTTTTAAAATGTAGTAGGTTCAAAATCAACTAATTTGATAACTGGCAATGGAAATAAATCCACCAGAGCATGAGGGGTCTAGGGCAGCAGTCCCCAACCTTTTTGGCATCAGGGACTGGTTTTGTAGAAGACAATTTTCCCATGGATTGAGGGTGGGATAAATGGTTTCAGGATGAAACTGTACCACCTCATATTATCAGACATTAGATTCTCATAAGGAGTGCCCAAGCTAGATCCCTTGTATGTGCATTTCACAATAGGGTTTGCTTTCCTATGAGAATCTAATGCCGCGGATCTGACAGGGGGCAGAGCTCAGGTAGTAATGCTCGCTTGTCTACTGCTCACTTCCTGCTTTGTGTCCAGGTGCCTAACAGGCCATGGAGCAGTCCATGGCCTGGTGATTGGGAACCCCTGGTCTGGGATGAATGAGTGGAACTCTTGACCTTATCAGCCTCCTCAGTTCACAAACATATACCTGCAGGAGAAGTGGGGAAGGATTGCGAAGTAAAAGGAAAGTTTTAAACCACACTTTTATCACAATTTTATCAGCAACACATCTTATAATGCTACAAGTAACAGAATCGATAGATACTTGCAAACAAATCTACATGAATGATATCCTTCCTTGGCTCAAGACATTCCTATAAATTTTCTTTATACAGAAAAGTATTTTGATAAAAATTGACAAAAACTCTTAGACTGATATAGATGCCCCTTCTATTGCTCAAATAACATTGCATATTTTCCTTCTTATTAAATAACCTCACAATAAACAATATAAATGCCATATTTCTTATTAGATTTTAAGTTTCTAAAGAGGAGAGAACAGAACTTGGGTTTCGTATTCTCTGTGCCTGGTACATGTCTGACATATTGGAATTTCTTTAAGTGTTTTCATAATTAATTCCACACAATAATGATGTACTGTTCTTTGAATATGGAGATAATACTACCAGTACATTACTAGATTGATATGTGCTTATATTGAAAGATGTGCACCTTGTCTCTCTTACATTATTTTCTTCTGCTCTTTGGATTCAACTGCACACATTTTTAAGGTAATCAATTGGCTAATGAGGAGGCAATCTGTAGCCATAATGTAAGTCTAACTATTCAGTGCACACAATAGAAATCATCTGTTTCTTTAAAAAGAAATTAAAATTATAATGAATAGTGTAAATGAATTGGGAGGGAGACATTTATATTCATTCATTATGGTTTCCAAACTTTTTTTTATTCCAATGCACATTAAGATATATTTTATAAATTAGCCAGGCATGGTGGCACATGCCTGTGGTTCCAGCTACTTGGAAGCCTGAGTGAGGTCGGAGGATCACTTGGCCTCAGATAGTTGAGGCTCCAATGAGCTATGATCATGCCACCACACTCTAGCCTGGGCAACAGACTGAGACCCCATCTCAAAAAAATCAAACAAAAAGAAATATATATATATATGTGTATATATATACATATGTATATATATACATATATATATACACATATATATGTATATATATACATATGTATATATATACACATATATATGTATATATATACATATGTATATATATACACATATATATATACACACACACATACATAGATATCATACCCATTCCTTATATATGTGAATATGAAAAAGTGCACAAAGCAACACTAGTACATACCATGCACTCTGAAGTAATAAAAATGCTAGTCATCATCCACTAAATAAACTTTATGACTCCCTAGTGGTTTGTAACTCACAGTTTAAAAACCATTGTAAAAGTCTACTGTTTTACAATAACTCCAGCAGTCTACTGTTTTAATTTATTATTCTCCTTGAGATCTTTTAACAATTCTACATCCTATCACGTTCCAAACTCTGCTTTCTTCTTTTGCATAAAAATTCCAACATTATCTGCATTTTAAATGTCCACTTACTGCACCTGAGGATGTACAGATGACAATACCTTATCAGCTGACATAGTTGTGTCTCCCTAATTGTTTCTGAGTCTTCCCTCAATCAACAGGAAGTCAGATTGACCAGTGTTTGGCTCATGGTAGCATTTGGGGATTAGTTATCATGTCAACGAGCAGCAGAATGACAATATAGCATTGTGCTGGCAGAATCTATTGTTAGTGATTACCACAAAGGTGGAATTTAAAGAATGTCATGCCCTTTATTTTTAAAAGTTAATGAAACCATGTTGACAGAACTTGTAATGTAAAAATGCTGCGATTTGGAGAGACTATCAAATTTGTGACTTCCAGTTCTCATAAACACTTATTTTTGCCTGTAGCCTACTCATTGTTTTTCATAGGGCATTCAGTTTCACAATATACACTTGTATCATATTACTAGTGTAATATCAGTCTTCTATTATAAATTTTTTTTTTACCTAAAATCTCTTTTGTGTTTTCTGTCTTAATATAATGCCATGTTTTACTACTGTAACTCAGGGGTTATATGAAAATAAAGAAAATTCATTGTATTATACATTTGAGGCTACTATAGTGACTTAACATCTAATGTAAAAAAATGCCAGTCAACAATGTGTAGAAGCAAACTGAGATGAAGTATTTTCCCAGCTTCAGTAAATTTACCAAGTCTAACATCTTAAACAATATCAAAGTTTTAGCATCCTGATAAGCCAGATTATCCAAGTGAATTAATTGTCTGATAATCCTTAAAATTCTGATTTTTTTTGAAGTAGTAAAAATAAAGTTTTCTAAATCTTGAATATCGGAGATAAACCTATGAAACTAAATTGAATGTGCATAAATTATTTTATAAAATTTGGTTTTAGTCTAACATTTGTATTAATCAGATTTTGGCAAACCCTGCCATTGTGAAGCTTAAAAGTCTTGTCAAATACAAATTGTGAGACTTCCACATTGCACCTAAAATTTTCTTTTAGACATAAAATTATAGTAAGTCGAGGCTCATTTTCAACACCTGATAAAATTCCATGCCTGATACTAATGTAATTTTAGTGTTGTTTTCCCAAATAATTTTGTATTTATTTTTCTTCTATTTATAGCAATGGTTTTCAAATGAGGGTGATTTTGGCTCCTCCACATGTATTTAGTGATGTCTTAAAACATTTTTGATGGCCATAACTCAAGAGTTGGGATGTATAATATGCTGCTGGTATCTAGTAGGTAGAGGCCAGTGATGCTACTAAACATGCTACAATGTACAAGATACATAACGCAACAAAGAATAACCTCATCCAATGATGTAATTTGAATGCTTGTCCCCTCCAAATATCATGTTGAAATGTGATTCCCAGCGTTGGTAGTGAGGTCTGGTGGGAGGTGATTGGATCCTGGGGGAAAATCCTTCATGAATAGCAGGAGGTGATTGGATCCTGGGGGAAAATCCTTCAGGAATAGCAGGAGGTGATTGGATCATAGGGGCAAATCACACCAAGCAACAGTCCCTTGGTGATAAGTGAGTTCTTGCTTAGTTAGTTCACATGAGATTTGGTTGTTTAAAAGTCTGGGATGCTCCACCTCTCTCTCTCTTGCTACCACTATAATCCTATGATATGCCTGCTTCTCCTTTCCCTTCCACCATGACTGGAAGTTTCCTAAGGCTCTCACCAGAAGCAGGTGCCAGCACTATGCTTCTTGTACAGCCTGCAGAACCATGAGCCAATTAAATCTCTTTTCTTTATAAATTATCCAGCTTCAGTTATTTCTTTATAGCAATGCAAAAGTGGCCTAACACAGAAAATTGATACAGAGGAGTGGGGCATTGCTATAAGGGTATTTAAAAATGGGCAAAAGGCCTCGAAGGCATTTCAGAGACCTTTGGGACAGCCCCTCCCATCACAGGCCCAAAGGCGTAGGAGGACTGAATAGTTTCAGGGGCCAGCCCCAGGTCTCTGCTACCCTGTGCAGCCTTGGGACACTGCTCTTTGCATCCTGGCTGCTCTGGCTCCATCTTTGGCTCAAAAGCCTCCAGATCCTGCTCAAGTTGCCACTTTAGAGAGCATAAGCCACCATAATCCCTGGTGGCTTCCCTGTGGTGTAAAGTCAGCAGGTGCACGAAATGCAAGAGTAAAAGAGGCTTGGCAGCTTCCTCCTAGATTTCAGAGGATGTATAAGAAAGTCTGGGTGCCGAGGCAGAAGCTGCCACAGGAGTGAAGCCCTCACAGATAACTTCTATAGGGGCAGTACAGAGGGTAAATATCAGGTTGAAGCCACCCCTGCAAAGAGTCCCCACCAGGTCATTGTCTATTGGAGCTATAGGAAGGGGACTTCCACCCTCCATATCCCAGAAGGGTACAGCCACAGGGAGCTTGCATCATGAGCCTAGAAAAGCCACAGTCACTCTATCCTAACCCATGACAGCTGCCACAGGGGGTACACCCTGCAAAGCCACAGGGGTGGAGCTACTCAAGTGGGCTTGGGAGACCATTTCTTGCACTAGTGTGCACTGGATGTGGGATGTGGAGTCCAAGGAGACTATTTTGGATCTTTAAGGTTTAATGTCTGCCCTGATGAATTTTGGACTGATGTGGGGCCTGTAGCTCTGTTCTTTTGGCCAATTTGTCCCTTTTGGAATGGTCATGTTTACCCAATGCTTATACCACCATTGTATCTTGGGTGTAAATAACTTGTTTTGATTTTACAGTCTGATAGGTGGAAGAAGACAACTCTCAGATAAGACTTAAGACTTTGGACTTGACACTGGAATGAGGTAAGACTTTGGGGGACTATTGGGAGGGGAGGATTATATTTTGCAATGTGAGGACATAAGATTTAGGGGGCCAGCAGCAGAATAATACAGTTTGGATGCTTGTTCCTTCCAAGTCTAATGTTGATATGTGGTTCCCAGTGTCGGAGGTGGAGCCTGGTAGGAGGTGACTGGATCATGGGGGTGGATCCCTCATGAATGGTTGAGCATCATCCTCTTCGTGATAAGTGAGTTATTGCTCCGTTACTTCATACATGATCTAGTTGTTTAAAAGTCTGGGACCTCTCCCACCCTCTCTTGTTTCTGCTCTTGCCATGTGATATGCCTGCTCCTTCTTTGCCTTCTGCCATAATTGGAAGCTTTCTGAGGGCCACAGCAGTAGCAGATGCCAGCATTATGCTCCCTGATGAACCTGCAGAATTGTGAGCCAATTAAATCTCTTTTCTATATAAATTACACAGCTTCAGGTAGTTCTTGATAGTAACATAAAAATGGTCTAGCACACCTGAAATGTCAACAGTGCAGAGATTAAAAATCCCTTATTTTTATGTATAGCTGTAACATTGCTAAGATTACAAAAAATAGTAAAAGGCCTAGGCTTATAAAACAAGCCTATGAATAGATTAATTTAGAAATGTTTATGAAATTATTAAAATTATAATTTGATAAACACTGGTACATCTAGAAGGAAATTCAGCCTCTAAATTAAATAATATATCATGATATGGATGAGAGTGTTTTAATTCTTAAGTACTGTGCAGTAATCACAACAGCAGAAATTACTTATAAAATCATAGGTTGAACCATATGAAACTGTCATTTTTGTAGGCTAAAAATGTTCAAATATTGGCAGTATTATGTGCTTGAATAATACAAAGTTAATTTTATTAATTTCTTAACTGTTTCATTTTTATTTTCTTGAATAGTAACATTTTAAAAAGCAAAACTTTAACAAAATAAAATAATATAGATTGACGAAGGGGACAAAGCAATGAACAAACAGCTAAAATTTCATTGGAGTGTCAAAGGGAATGCACTGAAATAGTGAGGCACCCATGGTGACTGGAAGCCCAGGAGGGCAGCAGGGAGGCACCTGACCTCTGCAGCCTCATCTCCTCTACACACATTGGATTGACCTGGAGACAGGAGGGACTTCCCCCTGTAGGGAAAAGGTAAATGGAAGAACACTAGCAGCCCCCATTGCCATCACAAATAAGGATAATTCATATTACAGAGAATCCCATAGTCATTGCAAGCCCAGAGCTCAGTTTGAAGAGCTGCCATGAATTCACATGGCTGCATTGCTCTAGATTAGGAACACAACATGCGCACTCCCTCACCCCCACCCAGGCTTTGTAAGCCAAGCTGTTGCATCATGGCACCATCTTGAGACCAGAGCCACATCTGGAGTATGCCCTCCTCTAGGTGCCAGTAGGCACTACACTTTTATCCAGCAGTGGGGCTCCATCTTCATTACACCAAGCCCACATGGGTGGCTGAATGCCATAACCCAAGCTGTGAAGAGCCTAGGCCCAGGATTAGCTATGACTCTGGCCCTGGACGGTAGGAAAACCAACTCCTGCCACCCACACTTCTAGCTGGAGGAACAGTCTGGCAGTCCCACCCAGGAAGAACCTGCCCTTGAGACAGCCAAAATGCTGTGGCCCTTCCCCAAATGGGAGAGGTCTCCTTGTGCCACAGAACAGCTGACATGCTCTTAGGCAAGGAGAGCCACTACATACTCACGCCCAGGTCCTGAGAAACAGTTCCTTTGTACCCACTTTCTTGCATAAATGACTCTGTCCTGCCCAAAAGCCCCATGCCCATATTCATAAGGGCCTAGGAAACAGCCCGTGGGCTGCCCCAGGCAGGTACAGGATATGGTCTGGATGTTTTGTACACTCCAAATCATATGTTGAAATGTGACCTCCAATGTTGGAGGTGGGGTCTAGTGAGAGGTGTTTGGGCCATGGAGGTTGATGTCTCATAAATGGCTTGGTGATGTCTTCATGGTAATGAGTTAGGTCTCACTCTATGAGTTTACATGAGATCTGATTGTTTAAAAGAACCTGATACCTCCTCCCCTCTATCTCTTTATCCCTCTCTCATCATATAAAATGCTTGCTCCCCCTTTACTTTCCAGCATGAGTAAAAATTTCCTGAGGCCTCACTAAAAGCTAAGCAGGTGCTAGTGCCATACTTGTACAGGTAGAAGAGCTGTGAGCCAAATCACACTACCTGACTTCAAACTATACTACAAGGCTACAGTAACCAAAACAGCATGGTACTGGTACCAAAACAGAGATATAGATCAATGGAACAGAACAGAGCCCTCAGAAATAATGCCGCATATCTACAACTATCTGATCTTTGACAAACCTGAGAAAAACAAGCAATGGGGAAAGGATTCCCTATTTAATAAATGGTGCTGGGAAAACTGGCTAGCCATATGGAGAAAGCTGAAACTGGATCCCTTCCTTACACCTTATACAAAAATTAATTCAAGATGGATTAAAGATTTAAACGTTAGACCTACAACCATAAAAACCCTAGAAGAAAACCTAGGCATTACCATTCAGGACATAGGCGTGGGCAAGGACTTCATGTCCAAAACACCAAAAGCAATGGCAACAAAAGCCAAAATTGACAAATGGGATCTAATTAAACTAAAGAGCTTCTGCACAGCAAAAGAAACTACCATCAGAGTGAACAGGCAACCTACAAAATGGGAGAAAATTTTCGCAACCTACTCATCTGACAAAGGGCTAATATCCAGAATCTACAGTGAACTCAAACAAATTTACAAGAAAAAAACAAACAACCCCATCAAAAAGTGGGCGAAGGACATGAACAGACACTTCTCAAAAGAAGACATTTATGCAGCCAAAAAACACATGAAAAAATGCTCATCATCACTGGCCATCAGAGAAATGCAAATCAAAACCACTATGAGATATCATCTCACACCAGTTAGAATGGCAATCATTAAAAAGTCAGGAAACAACAGGTGCTGGAGAGGATGTGGAGAAATAGGAACACTTTTACACTGTTGGTGGGACTGTAAACTAGTTCAACCATTGTGGAAGTCAGTGTGGCGATTCCTCAGGGATCTAGAACTAGAAATACCATTTGACCCAGCCATCCCATTACTGGGTATATACCCAAATGACTATAAATCATGCTGCTATAAAGACACATGCACACGTATGTTTATTGCGGCATTATTCACAATAGCAAAGACTTGGAACCAACCCAAATGTCCAACAATGATAGACTGGATTAAGAAAATGTGGCACATATACACCATGGAATACTATGCAGCCATAAAAGATGATGAGTTCATGTCCTTTGTAGGGACATGGATGAAATTGGAAACCATCATTCTCAGTAAACTATCGCAAGAACAAAAAACCAAACACCGCATATTCTCACTCATAGGTGGGAATTGAACAATGAGATCACATGGACACAGGAAGGGGAATATCACACTCTGGGGACTGTGGTGGGGTCGGGGGAGGGGGGAGGGATAGCTTTGGGAGATATACCTAATGCTAGATGACACATTAGTGGGTGCAGTGCACCAGCATGGCACATGTATACATATGTAACTAACCTGCACAATGTGCACATGTACCCTAAAACTTAAAGTATAATTAAAAAAAAAAAAAAAAAAAAAAAAAGAAGAGCTGTGAGCCAAATAAACCTCTTTTCATTATAAATTACCCAGTCTCAAGTATTCCTTCACAGCAACACAAAACAGATTAATGCAGCTTGACCTCAAACTGACTGAGCAGCTGTGTTCTCATGTCCCAGGCCACCCCCAGGAGACATGTACCTAAGTTAGCTAAGAAGCCATGTGCCCATGTTCTAGGCCTGAAAAACAGACCCATGGGCTGCCACTTATAGACACATTCCTGGACTGAACCAAGAGCTGTGAAACCCCATTCTGGTCCTGAGAAATGGCCCTGAGGGCTGTCACTAGCAGACAAGCCCCCAGGTTGGACAAGCAACTGTGCACCCACATCCCAAGTCTGAAAAATAGCCTTATTGGCTGCCCCTGATAGACACACACCCAGGCTGGCCAAACAGCCTTACACCCAAATCATGGACCTGAGAAAAAGCCTGGGAAAACACCTCCAACAGACATACACTCAGGCCAGCTGAGAAGCCAGGCAGCCATGTACCAGGACTAAGAAACAGCCCCATGGGCCACACCTGGCTGGCATGCCCCCAGCCTGGGCAGGAAATTGTGCACCCATGCCCCCAGCCAGAGTAACAGCCCCATGGTCCAAATCCCTGTGAGCCGGACCTCAAATTGGCCAACTCACCGTGCGCATGTACATGCTCCTAACCTGAGAAACAGCCTGACAAGCCGATGTCTGGCAAAGTTACACCACCAACAACACAAATCCTCAGCCTAGGCCACTAAGATACTAGCGAACATCACTAGCATGGATTACAGCTGAAGAAACTACACGGAGACTACACTGCTGCACTAAACTACAATAAAAGTCAACACACTCCTATAAACCAACATCCTAAGACCCACATACATCAGTAAAATCTTTCCCTATCCAACCTATACAATAAAATTGGAAGAGATAACTGTTCCACCAGATGAATGGAAATCAACACTGGGACACATCAAACACATGAAAAACAAGACAACACTACACGTCCAAATGAACGTTCAAAATGTCCAAAGAAAAATCCAAAGTAATAATTCTAAGTAAATTCAGTGAGATATAAGAGATTACAGATAGACAATTTAAACAAATCCGGGAAACAATTCATGATTTGAATGAGAAATTCAACAAAGAGACAGATATTAAGAATCAAATAGATTTTAGAGCTCAAGAATTTAATTAATAAATTTAAAAACACAGTTGAGAACTTCAACAACAGACTAACCAAACAAAAGAAAGAATTTCTGATCTTGGAGACAGCTCTTTTGAATAACGCAGGCAGACAAAGAGAGGAAAAAAAGATAAAATAATAAAAAGTAATGAAGAAAGCCTAAACGATTTATGAGGGACCATTAAGCTAACAACTATTCATATTATGGGTATTTCAGAAAGGAAAGAGAAATCAAAAGGTACAGAAAATCTATTTAGGCTGGGCACGGTGGCTCACGCCTGTAATCCCAGCACTTTGGGATGCCAAAGCGGGCAGATCACGAAATCAGGAGTTTGAGACCAGCCTGGCCAACACAGTGAAAACCCATCTCTACTAAAAATACAAAAAATTAGCTAGGTGTGGTGGCAGTGCCTGTAATCCCAGCTACTTGGGAGGCTGAGGCAGGATAATTGCTTGAACCCAGGAGGTGCAGGTTGTAGTGAGCTGAGATTGAACCACTGCACTCCAGCCCAGGTGAGAGTGCAAGACTCTATCTCAAACAAAAACAACAGCAGCAACAACAACAAAGTGTATCTAATAAAATAATAGCTGAAAATCTCCCAAGCCCTGTGAGATAGACATCCAGATCTAGGAAGCTTGAAGATCCCCAAATATATTCAACCAAAACACATCCTCTCTGAGGCACGTTATAGCCAAACTGTCAAAAGCAAAAAACAAAGAATGAATTCTAAAAACAGCAAGAGAAAAGTGTCAAGTCACACATAAGGGAACCCCCATTAGAATAAAAGTGGATTTCTCAGCAGAAATCTGAAGACCATGAAAGAATGGGGTGATATAGTCAAAGTACCAAAAGTAGAAGAGGGGACCTGTCAGCTAATAATATTATGGCAAGCTAAACTATCCTTCAGTAATGAAGGAAAAATAAAATCTGTCATAAACAAGCAAAAGCTAAGGGAATTCATCACTAGTAGACTGGCCTTAGAAGAAATGCTCCCAGAAGTCACACATTTGAAAATGAAAAAATAATTAGAATCATGAAAACATGCAACACTATAAAAGTCACCAGCAGCGTTAATACAGAAAGGAAAAAGAAAAATGAATCAAATGTTATCACCACAGAGAACCACCCAACCACAAAAATAAACAAGGGAGGAAGAAAGGAACAAAGGATATACAAAACAACAAGAAAAAAATGAATCAAATGACAAGAATAAGTCTTCACCTGTCAATAATAACCTTGAGTTAAAATGGATTAAATTTCTCATTTGAAAAATATAGATTGGCTAAATGGATTAAAGAGAAAAAAAAAAACAACACCCAACCATATGCTGGCTACAAGATACTCACCTGAGCCGTAAAGACACACACAGACTGAAAAGGAAGGGATGGGAAAAGATACTTCACACAAATGGAAAACAAAAGCCAACAGGAGTAGCTATAGTTACATCAGACAAAACAAGATTTAAGTCATAAACTCCAAACAGAGACAAAGAAGGACATTATATAATAATAAAGGTATCAATTCAGGAAAATAATATAACTGTAAATCTATATGCATTTAATGCCAGAGCACCCAGATATATAGAGCAAATATTATTAGATCTAAAGGGAGAGATAAATCCCAGTAACTGGAAACTTCAACATCCATCCCACTGTCGGTGTTGAACAGATCAACTAGACAAAAAAAAAATCAACAAAGAAACATTAGATTTAAAGTACACCATCGAGCAAATGAACCTAACAGATATTACAGAGCATTTCAGCCAACAATTTCATAATACCTATTCTTTTCATCAGTATATGGAACATTCCCCAGGATAGATGATATGTTACAAAATTCTCAAAATATTAAAAAATTTTAAATTATATCAAGTATCTTATCTGACCACATGGAGTAAAATTATAAATCAATTAACAGGAGGAACATTTGAAACTATAAAAATGTGTACAAATTAAACCACATCCTACTGAATGACCAATGACTGAAGAAAGAAATGTAAAATGAAATTTAAAAATTTCTTAAAACATATGAAAATAGAAATGCAACATAACCAAACTTATGGACCTATGGGACACAGCAAAGCATTCTTAAGAAGCAAGTTGATGGCAAGAAATGCCTATATCAAAAAAACTAGAAATATTTCAA
Source organism: Homo sapiens (assembly GCF_000001405.40). Taxonomy (NCBI): domain Eukaryota; kingdom Metazoa; phylum Chordata; class Mammalia; order Primates; family Hominidae; genus Homo; species Homo sapiens. The sequence continues at coordinate 52,178,096 of NC_000010.11, read as the reverse complement.
ATAAACAATGTAATGATGCATCTCAAGGGACTAGAAAGGCAAGAACAAACCAAACCCCAAATTAGTAGAAGGGAAGAAATAGTAAATATCAGAGTAGTAATACATAACATTGAGACCAAAAAAAAAAAGCAATGCAAAACTCAATAAAACAAAAAGTTGTTTTTTTGAAAAGATATGCAAAATCAACACACCATTACCTAGACTAAGGAAAAAAAAAAGAACCAAATAAATGAAATAAGAAATGGTAAAAGAGACATCACAATAGAGACCACAGAAATACAAAGGATCATAAGGGGGTTTTTTATAAGCAACTATACACCAGTAAATTTGAAAACCTAGAGAAAATGGATAAATTCCTGGACACATAAAATCTATCAAGATTGAAAGCCCCAAAATTTCAAAAACTTTAACAGACCAATAACAAGTAATGAGATCAAATCAGTAATAAAAGTTTCCCAACAAAAGTATGGGACAAGAGGGCTTTATCACTGAATTCCACCAAACATTTAAAGATTTATTATCAATTATTCTCAAAATATTCCAAAAATGGAAGTGGAGAGAACTCTTCCTAACTCATTCTATGAAGTAAGCATAACCCTGATGTCAAAACCAGACAAGGACACAATCAAGAAATTAATCTACAGGCAAATATCCCTGATGAACATAGACATAAACATCTTCAATAAAAGTGTAGCAAACTGAATCCAACAATACATCAAAAATACACCATGATCAAATGGGATTTTTTTCCAGAAATGCAAGGATGGTTTAAAAGATGCAAATAAATAAATGTCATACATACCATCAACAGAATGAAGGATAAAAAACTTATGATTATCTCAGATGCAGAAAAAGCATGTGAGAAAATTCAACATCCCTTCATAATATAAACTCTCAATAAATTAGTTACAGAATGAACATACTTCAACACAATAAAGGCCATATATGACAGTCACCTAACATACTGAATGGGTAAAATCTGAAGCTTTTCCTTTAAGACCTGGAATAAGACAAGGATACTCAACCTCACCAATCTTTTTCAACGTAGTACTGGAAGTCCTAGCCAGAGCAATTAGGCAAGAGAAACAAATAAAGGGCATCCAAACTGGAAAGGAGGAAATCATACTGTCCCTGTTTACAGCCTTGCAGAGGGCATGATCTTATATAGAGAAAAACTACAGACTCCACAAAAACCCTTAACATTAATCAATGAATTCAGTAAAGTTGCAGGATACAAAATCAACATACAAAAATCAATAACATTTCTATACACATACGATAAACTAGCTGAGAAAGAAATAAAGAAGGCAATTCTATTTACAATAGCTACAATAAAATAAAATACCTGGAATAAATTCAACAAAGGAGGTGAAAGTCCTCTACAACGAAAACCCCAAAGCACTGATGAAAAAAACTGAGTAAGATACAAACTGAAAGACATCTTATACTCATGGATCAGAATTAATACTGTTAAAATGTTCATACTAGCCAAAGCAATCTATGGATTTAATGCAATCCCTATCAAAATATCAATAACCTTCTTCACAGAAAAATAAATAAAAATCTTAAAATTTGTATGGAACCATAAAAAATCTTGAGTAGCTAAAGCAATCCTGGTGGTGGGTGGTAGGGTGGACCTGAAGGCATCACACTGCCAGACTGCAAAATATACTACAAAGCTGTAGTAACCAAAACAGCATGAAACTGGCATAATAAAAGACACAGAAAAAAATAGACCAGACTAGAGAACTCAAAATTAATCCTCTTATCTATAGCCAACTGATTTTTCACAAAGGTGCCAAGACCACTCACTGGAGAAAGAACAGTCCCTTCAATAAATGGTGCTAGGAAAACTGGGTACCAATATGCAGAATGAAACTAGACTTCCACCTCTCACCCTACAAAAAAAAAAAAAAAAAAAAAGAGAAAAAGAAAAAACTCAAAATCGATCAAAGATCGAAATGTAAGACCCCAAACTGCAAAACTCAATAATAAAATATTGAGGAAATGCTTCAAGACATCAGCCTAGGAAAAGATTTTTTGAATAAGGCCTCAAAAACACAGGCAACAGAAGTGAAAATAAACAAATAAACTTATATCAGTCTGAAAGGCTTCTGCACAGTAAAGGAAATAATCAACAGAGTGAAAAGATAACTTAAAGAAGGAGAGAAAATATTTGCAAACTATTCATCCAATAGGGCATTACTATCCAAAATACACAAGGAACTCAAACATCTCAACAGCAAAAACCAAACAATGGGATTAAAAAATGGGCAAAGGATTTGAACTGATATTTTTCAACAGAAGACATACAAATGGCCAACAAATATATGAAGAAATGCTCAACATACCAATCATCAGGGAAGTGCAAATCAAAACCACAATGAGGTATCTTTTTACTCCAGTTAGAATAGCTTTTATCAAAAAGACAAAAAATAACAAATGGTTGTGAGGATACAGAGAAAACGGAACTCTTGTATACCGTCGGTGGGAATGTAAACTAGAATATCCACTATGGAGAACAGTATGAAGTTCCACGAAAAAAACTAAAAAGAAAATGACTATATGATCCAGCAATCCCACTACTGGGCATTTAACCAAAGAAAAGGAAATCAGTATATTGAAGAGACATCTGTCTCCCCATGTTTATTGCAGTACTATTCACAATAGCCAAGATATGGAATCAACCTGGGTGTTGATATGGATTCAAAAACAGATGAATGGATATAGAAAATGTGGTATATATACAAAATAGAATATTATTCAGTCATGAAAATGGAATTCTGTTGTTTGTGGCGATATAGATGGAACTGAAGGACATTATGTTAAGTGAAATAAGCCAGAAACAGAAAGTTGTACACTGCATGTTCTCACTCATATGTGGAGGCTGAAAACAAAATTGATCACATAGAATTAAAAAGTCAAACAAAGGAAACTAGGAGCTGGAAAAATTAGGAGAAAATGGCGGACAAGGAGAGTTGTTAAAGGACACAGAATTGCAGCTAGATAGGAGGAATATATTCTAATGTTCTATATCATTGTAGGATGACACAGTTAATGATAGTTTCAAATAGCTAAAGGGTGATATTGAATGTTCCCAACACAGAGAAATCATAAATGTTTGAGATGATGAATATGCTAATCGCCCTGATCAGATCACTATACATTATATGTATTGGAACATCATTATATACCCCGTACATATGAACAGTTATATATATCAATTAAAAATAAAGATGCATTGATATAACAATGTAGATAAAAATAAAATCATATAAAGCAGATATGTCTTGCCTTTGGTCATACTATTTTTGAACATTATCTAGGAATATATGTGCTTCATTATTTGGAAATACATGTCGCTGGGAATATGTGTGCTTCTTGGAGGAGGAAGCATTTTTACTTAATTTTTATGATTTCCTAGTGTGGCTTATGAATGAAATAAATAGCCAAAAACATGAGCAATAGAGACACAACCCATATAATGCAATTATTTTTAATGCTATAGTTTTATACTATCTCTTTGGTTTTTTAAAATTTGAAGTACGGTAATCACATCTTGATAAGTAATTAAATGCTTCTTTATAGTCCTTTTTTCTTAAATTCTCTCCCTGCTCCCCTCTATTCATTGGCATATAAAGTTATTGCTCTGATCACTCATGTCAGTGCAGAAGAGAATATTAATATTAATCAATGTGTATGTCAACAACTTCCTGAAGAAAGAAGCTGATATACTCTCCTAGCTGTTGCTGTCACTCAAAAAAGCATCATCTGCTATAAAGTTGTTACTTCTTCAATGGCCTTTTTTTTTTCTTTAAACTTAAGGGAACTTTTTGGAGCTCATGTGAAATGCAGAATTCTTATAAAGACTAAAGCATGTTCTTCATCATTAATTTAATTGTTTAAGTAATATCATAAAGTTAAGGGGCTTGAGAGGAAAAACCATGAGTCCTATTACAAGGAGTTTACCAAAAAATAAAAAATAAATTAAAAAAACCTGATTACTAGCATAGTGAGCAAGAGAACTAGATTTGGGAAAACAACTTCCTGAAAGATATTGTGACATTTTGAGAAGCCAATTTTACTAGCATCACAGGCATACTGGGCTGAACCAAATTTTCAGGGTCATTTCAACAAAAAACTTAGTAAAACTGATAAGTAATTAGTTAAAGACCCAATGACTCATACTTTTCCAGGTCCTTAAATTGAAAGCGGTCTTAAATTCATCATTTTAAGAAGCTGCCTTATCCTCTTTTCAAGGACTTGAGGATTGTTATTCTTCAGTATGCTCAATTAGTAATGTATCTAGGTTTTCTAAAATGTTTGTACAGTTTTTGAATATTAGAGCAGTAGCTTTTGTCTTTTATCTCTACATGTCTGATATACTAGGGAATAGGCTGGCTGCCTGAAGTAATTAATAGAGTTTATAAAGTTGACTAATGCTTGCAATTTATGCATTAGAGGAAAATGGTGTGATACATGTAAATGTCTCTGAGCACCAGTCATGCTTCACTTCTACATCTCATCTTCCTCAAATAGCAAGTTAAAGATCTAAATTCATATAGTATATTATGTTCATTGTATCAAAACAATTTATGCTACCATTTAAATCCATTATTTACAAATCACTTCTTTCTAAAAGGATTCATGGGGGAAATATTAGTATAACATTTTCTAGTTTCGAAGGTAGTCTATAATTTTCTAATGGCATTTTATTGAAAGATAGCAGGGCTTATTATCATATCTAAATGCCATATTCGAAAGAAAATTGTATAATGATAAAAATGAAAATGCTTTTTCTAAAGGCTTACTTAATTACTATGAATTATCAAAATGAGCTTCAAGCAATACTACACAATTTGATAAAAAATTTTTGAATAAAGCAAGCACCTTAACAGCAATATTTTATGAGGACATATAACTTAAGTAACCTTTGTTACAACATAGACTTATAAATTATTTCATGATCCTTAAGAGCCTATTTTCTGTTGACAGTGAGAGATATCCTCATTATAAATTTAGAAAATCAGCAAAGACAAAAATATTGTTTCTATAAAAGGGAGTTACGATTCCAAAAGAATGCCTTGTTAATGTGCACATTCTAAGCATCTTAGAAGCCTAAAGCCAAAAATTAGAAAGGATTTCAAGATTGCTATTTTTACAGTTTGGGAAACAGGGTCCAAGGAGCCAGGGTGCTTGTTCAAGTTCACATGAAGTTAGTGGCTGTGCAGTAACTAAGGCTCGCTCTCCAAACTCCCAGTTACTACTACTACTCACTATGTAAATATATGTGGCCTCCTCAGGGGGAGCCCTTCAGCACTTCTAGCCTTGCTCTCACTCACTAGGTTCAAACATTTTATCTCTAGAGTTGCTCAACCTTACTTGCAAAGCAGTTTTAGAATTATGCTGCATGCTATATTCACTCCAATAATAGAGACTGCCTTCACTTAAGAAGAAAAGGAATTGTAGATAGAGATAATTATTTTTTCAAATGAAACTACTGAGAACACAAAGGGATATAAAAGGTATTATTCTTTTCTGCTTTTAAAAAGTACTGTACTGTAAATAGGCTTTATATATCAAGCTATTGAAAAGAAACATGTATCGGGCTGTTCTCTGGGGGCTCTGGAGAGGCTAAGGTAATTGCCATACAGGACCAAAGTATCCACAGAATTTAAAGAGCTCCTGACGTTTTGAAAGTAATTTTCAATTGTCATTACTTAATACAGCAATGGTGGAAAGGAAGCATCTTTATTTCTTGGAAGAAGGAAACAGACTCAGCAATCAAGTAGCTTGTCTGTTTTCACCAAGCAAGTCAGCAGCACTAGAATTTTCAATTATCTGTAGTCCTCTTCTCTGTTGATTAGAAAAGGCTGCAAGCAAGCACATACTGGGATTCACATTTATAAAGTCTTCTTACCTAGAGAGTCTCAAAGATAAGCGCTGCAGAGCAAAAATTAGCAAATGGCCTTTGAGAGTTTTAAAATTTTTGATAGGCCGGGCGCGGTGGCTCACGCCTGTAATCCCAGCACTTTGGGAGGCCGAGGCGGGTGGATCATGAGGTCAGGAGATCGAGACCATCCTGGCTAACAAGGTGAAACCCCGCCTCTACTAAAAATACAAAAAATTAGCCGGGCGCGGTGGCGGGCGCCTGTAGTCCCAGCTACTCGGGAGGCTGAGGCAGGAGAATGGCGTGAACCCGGGAAGCGGAGCTTGCAGTGAGCCGAGATTGCGCCACTGCAGTCCGCAGTCCGACCTGGGCGACAGAGCGAGACTCCGTCTCAAAAAAAAAAAAAAAAAAAAAAAAAAATTTTGATAAAAGAAAAATACTTCTATTCAAGGCCGAGTAGTTTTGTCCTGAAAATCATTTTTTTTTAAAAAAGCAACTGAATCAGTCTCACTGCACTTGAAAGAGCATTGGATTTTGATATTCTCTGCAGTCACAAATCCTGCTGAAGTATTAATCTATCAGCATTGGTGGCCTTAGAAACCATTGTATACTTCTGCCTAGTCTGATTACATGTACTAGAATTTAAAACAAAAACAGCTCTTGAAAGACTGAAAGCCAGCATATTAGTTCAGGGCCAACTGCAGAAATATTTTCGTCCCCTATATTTTGCCCTGCAATAAAATAGAAAATATTTTTTATTGCTGAGAAAATGGGGCTGCCTTCTGACCACTCACCCTGCAGATAGTCAGCAAGTTCTAATTCTGGTTTGAGGGCTATTTCACAATGCCATTCTCAGTGTTTTGTCTATTTAATTGACATATCGTTCCCATTTTGGAAGAGGATATTGCTCACTTGAATTCGTTCCATAGGGGAAAACAATTTTCCAGGATCATTTCCCTGAGAATTGCTTAGATCAAGACCAAGTTGTCTTAAGTAAATTGTTGATAAGATTATGGGAATACTAGAATCTTCACTTGAAAATGTCAGGCAAAAAAAAAAACAAAACCAAAAAAAAAAAAAACACACCAATAAGATAGCCCCAAATTTCAGTCAGCATGTTCAAAACAGCAACCCCTGTGTACTCAAGTGTGCATTTAGAAACTTCCTGTTTGCTAGAAGCTAGCTGACCCTGAGGCATTTCAGAAGATGTTACTAAACAATGCAGACCTAGGTCCTGATTTACATAGCCTCAGGTGCTTTGAGAGGCATTTGATGAGCGCATTTTCAAAGGCCTGAACAACAGCAGCCGTTCTGTCTGAAAGCCGCCGAAGAGCAACCTCTCTGTGACAGGCAGAATCAGTTACTAAAGGGTTGTCTCTGCTAATGAAATGTAATGAGAGAACATCTTTTATTGCTGTCACATTGTGTCAAACAAGAAGGCTCATCACCAAAAGTAATCCTGAAAATATCAGACAGTCTTAAATGTTTCTTTGCAAATAAATTTGTAAACAGGAGGGCTTGAAAATCAATGAGGACTAATTACGGAAATAGAAGTAAAATATTTAAGGACTATTCCATCAAAGAGCCAAAAGGGTGGTACACAGGTAGGCAATACTCCCTACAGCTCTTGCAGAGTGTCGATGGAGTGGAGAGGGGGGTGATTGTGGTACTTCTTTTTTTAGTGGCAATAAGCGAGAGCCAGCCCTGCAGCCACTAATGTTTTTGTGCATCTCTCTCTTGTCAGTGCACTGATAAGGGTCCTGTTTTGCATACTAGCCTTATCTCTGGTTCACTACCATAGATACATCTTTCTTGTTTACTTCTAATATTTTCTTCCTATATTATGTGAATCTATTATGAATGTCCTTTTTGGGGACAAGGCAGAGAATATGTGAACAATTTAGGTGCATGATGAGGAGAGCAGAACAGAACAAGATGGTCATTACAAGGTGGGTTTTTATTAAGTTTTTGGCAAATTTGGGCCTTCTTTCTTAGTGTCCTTCTTTCTTCTTTGTCCTCAGAGGAAGGCTTAAGCGATCCTTGCAGGAAAAATAGTTTATGGACAAATTTATACTACAATATTAAGAAAACCTTTTTATTCCTCTTAGGATAATTTATTATTTTTATAGGTTCTTTAGAGAGAGGGTAATGCTTTAAACTAAGGGAATGCTACTCAGTATAAGACTGAAGAGTAATGACCTTCTTAACCAAGAAATAACATCACAAAGTGGTATAAACCTTATCCGTGGAGATGGTCTCACTCTTAACCTTTGAAGAGGTCTGCCTTTGTCATGAAGTTAAAAGGACCTGAGAACCACTTGCTCAGTCTTAAACTCTCTTCTCTACTAGATTTAACATGCTTACATCTCTATCAGTACTGAAGATCCATAATCTTCCATTTACACATTTCTGGCAATTTTACTTAAATGTCTTATTATTTGGTGTAAGCTCATTGAATCCTGTTTCTGAAAATTAGATTCATTTGTAGCCTTTGCAAGGCGGGCTCCATCCCCACCACTCCATTGTGAAATGAAACTGAACCCACTGGTTTGCTAAATCCAATTTGTTAAGTAACATACTAGAATTCTTAGCAACATGTAATATCATTGTTTCTTCCCCCATTCTTGAAGCACACTGCTGTAGACTGTGCACTGCCTCCTACCTAAATTCATGTGTGGAAACCTAATCCCCATCGTGATGGTGCCAGGAGGAAGAGCCTTTGGGAGGTTATTGGGTCATGAGGGCAAGTTCTCAGGAATGGGACTTAGTGCCCTTATAAAAGAGACCCCAGAGAGCTCTTGTTCCTTCTGCCATGTGAGGTTACAGTGAAAAGGCAGCTGTCTATATGCCAGGAAATGGGCAGACATTTAATCTGCTGATGCCTTGATCTTGGACTTCACAGCCTCCAGAACTCAGAAATAAATTTCTACTGTTTATAAGCCACTAAGTTTACAGTATTTTGTTATAGCAGCCTGAACAAACTAAAACACATAGTCTATTCTTGGTTTCTGTGCATGTGGTGTTCCTTCTACCTTTCATCTCTCCTTCTCAGTCTTTCTTTTCTTTAATTTTTGCCAAATTCTTCTTTCTTCTCTAACCTTTAAATGCTAACATTCATCAAGAATCAATCCTCAGTGCCATGCTCCTCTCACTCTCTAATTTCTATCTCATCCACAGCTACAATTACTATCTAACATCGAAATGTTCGTTATTCTCAAACTGATAACAATCTTCTGTCTGAGCACCAGACCTGCCTAACCATATCTCAAAAGTACCTCATTTAAACTGTCAAAAAATCAGTTCATGATCACCCTACTCTCCAAACCTGGGAACCATATAATGCTTCTCTACCTTAGTGAATTCTGTCACTTCTCTCCAATATTCAGATCAAAATTCTTTGCATTTTCCCTGACCTTTTCCTCCTTCACCACCTATATCTATTTCCTGAAGACCTGCTGGCTTTGCCACCTAAATATCTCTCAAATGCTTTTTTTTTTTTTAAATCACATTGTCCTCACTCTATTCCTGTCTACTATCAGCTTTAACATGAAAAATATTTTGATTATTCTCCCTGCTTTCAATGTACACCCCTTCAATCACAGAGACAAGAGTGCCCAGTTTTAATATAAACCAACTCGTCTCATTTGCCAGCTTGGAAGTCTGATGTGATTTCCTGATTTCTTAATGTGGCTTACAAAGTCTTGTGAGATTTGGTATCTGTCATTCTCTCCTTTCTGATCTCCTTCTCTCTTTTGTTCTAGGTCTCAGGCATATTGCTACTTTAATTCCTTGACTATATAATGTTGCTTCCCACTTTGAGGGCTTTTTCCATGCTGTTCCTCTATGTAGAATGCTTTCCATTTGTTCCGCCAGCTAGAATGCTCTCCATACCTCCTTGCTTAACTAATACCAACTAATTCTTGCCTAGCCAGCACCAGCTAATTCTTCAGAATTCAGGCCACATCTAGTTAAAATGTCACTTCCCCTAAGAAGACTTCCCAGAAAGATTAACATATGCCTCAGTCCCCCACTGGACCATAAGCTCCATTAAGGCAAGAAACTTATCTATTTTATTCATTGTTTTATATGCAGCATTTTGTAGGCACATAGAAAATAACTGTTGAATAGATGAAAGCATATGAAGAGGTGAATGAATATGGGTGATGCTGGTGCATGAGGGACTACAGAGGCATTGCAAGGAGTCTTTAAATCTTTATGTATACCAAGGGATATTACAGATGAAAATCTATCTGTCCATGCTCATTTGGAGGCTTCACATAGATTTTGACAAGAGAAGAAGTTAATAAAGAGCAATATTGGTTATTATCAATCTAGATAAAAACTAAGTGCATTTACATATCTATAGTCATATAGTTGTCAGAACTTCCCATTGAAGGGCTTAGGTATGAATCCCTTTAGCCTTCAATACTGAAGGATGGAGCCTAGGGCAGCTGAACTAATTGGTGCAAAACACTGTACTCATTTTCTATGAATGTCACGACACAAAGTAGTTTGAAAAGCATCGCTAGATGGAATGTATTCAAAGGTGTTTTTGTTGTTTGGTGCTTTTTTTTTTTTCCTTAAAAGGTAATTGAGATCTCACCTTTAAAAGCAAAATACATTGAATCAACAAGGCTACAACTCAAATCAGTCTAGAAGTCTAAGTTTCTATTCATTGGGTTGTCAGCTACTATTAAAATGATTTTCATGAAGAGTATATAATAGTATTATAAATGTTTATAATATGAAGATGCTGATATGGTTTGAATATTTGTCCTGTCTAAATCTCATGTTAAAATGTAATCCATAGTGCTGGAGGTTGGGCCTGATGGGAGGTGTTTGGGTTATAGGGGTGGATCTCTTTTGAATGGCTTGGTGCTATCCCCATGATAATAAGTGAGTTCTCCTTCTCTTAGTTCACAGAGTGAGAGCTGGTGGTTTAAGAAAGCCTGGCATCTCCCTTGATCCCTTTCTCTTCATGTGATATGCCCTGTTGCCTTCTGCCATGACTGGAAGCTTCCAGTGGCCTCGCCAAGAACAGATGCCAGAACTATGCTTCCTGTACAGCCTGTAGAACCATGCCAAATAAACCTCTTCATAAATGACTGAGCCTCAGGTATTACTTTACAGCAATGCAAAACAGACTAACACAGATGTTAAATGGAATAAAGCAAGATATAAAATTGAAAATGCACTATAAGTACAACTGTAAAACACCAAGATAGGTAATAGCAGTTGTGTTTGGTTTAGATTGTTTTCATTTTCTTTCTCTATCTTGGCTTATATATATGTGTGTGTGTGTGTGTGTGTGTGTGTGTGTGTGTGTATACATACACATATACAGATATATATATAGACATATATATACATATATATACATATATATACATATATATACATATATATATGTATATATATAGGCTTTTTTATTTGAAGAAATAGCTGTTTTGCCTGTAACTGCTGAGTATTCAGCAATTAAGACATCAAAGATACAAGCTATACACGTCAGAAATATTTAACAAAGTATTTAATTTTTTTATATTTCTGGATCATTATGAATTTTATAAGGCAAGGCTTCAATATAGAGATAAAATTTTATATTCAAATTAGCCGGGCATAGTGGCGGGCGCCTGTAGTCCCAGCTACTTGGGAGGCTGAGGCAGGAGAATGGTGTGAACCCGGGAGGCGGAGCTTGCAGTGAGCCGAGATCCTGCCACTGCACTCCAGCCTGGGCGACAGAGCGAGACTCCGTCTCAAAAAAAAAAAAAAAAAAAAATTATATTCAAATACTATTATTTCATAATAATTATTAAAACTTATTCTTAGAACCAAATAGTGAAAGTATTCATTCAATTACATACCAGCTTCCCTACTGAACTGTAAGATGATCCTTGGTATTGGAAATGGTGTTTTCTATTTGGTGTGCACGTTATAAAGCACAATGCCTGACTCACCATAAGTAAATTTCTAATGTTTATTAAATGAATGAATACATATTATCAATAGAAAATATGTACCTCTCACCACACCTGCTACCTTCTTCTCCAAATAAAATTCAGTGAACCTTAGCTTTGATCTGATGTTGCCTCTTCTAATGTCTTTGTGATTATAATTTCCTATTTTAAAAAGAGAAGCCCTCAGTGGATAATTAGCAACAATCAAGAGAAGCTTAAGCATGCCATATAGGCAAAATTTCTGCCAAGAACAATTATCTTTGTAGAAAATATATCTCATGAGACAGACTGAGGGCACCTATCCTGCAGTAGAGGAGTTTTGAGAACCACTTCTACTGGAACATTTCTCTCAAGCCAATCTTCCTAGACTATCTACCTGAGCTGAATGCCTGGTATGGTTTTACTGGGATGGTCTGTACATTTTGTGAAATCTTTCTGCGATTGAGCTTGATTATACTACCATTTAAGTTTTAAATGCCTCAACTTAATCAATCTTTACAGTCAGTCCTACTTTTTTTCGCTTCTTACCCAAATAGGCATAGTCAATGAGACTATGGATAACAAACATCCATTTCCCATGGATAACTAACATAATCATTTTAGTCGAGCTTTAAGAAATATTAATCTTATCTTCCGTAGGTTTTGCAAAACATCAAGAAGACCCTGAACAAATAAAGCTTACAAAGTGGAGCCAAATTAACATTGTCTTTCTAAATGGTCAAGATAATGTGATCCTTATAAAAATTTAGAGGCATTAACAGAAATATCCCAGATTTTAAACAAATTAGAGCTGGTTCCTAGCCCCTGCAGCATTGGCAACCCTTATAAATTCCTTAAATACAAAATGAAAGTATAAAGTAGTTAAGGGGAAGAAATTCAATACGGAGAAACAACAATGCTAATTCAAATAGAGTTTTAAACTTGATAGTTCAACTAGAAAGCTTTCTCTAGGGAATAATTCACAGTTTGCCTTCTTTGAATGACAGGACACCTAATTAAGAGATACCTTACACTTCAGAAAACTTCCGATATTAATTATTTATTAGAAGACTATAAAATGCTAACAGTGTATAAGACACAACGATAACTCCTCCAGTATTTATTTATTTATTTGCTTATTTACTTATTTGGCTGGTTTTAGGAATAAAGGTCATATTATCAGCCTCACTAGAATTTGGATCAAAGGTTTTAGACTTTTTCATCAAGCAATTACCATTTTCTAAATAATAATGAATATTAAAAAACATGGACTATACATTCATTTGGGTTTAGTGTGAATTGAGCAGAAAATTCAAACAAAACTGTACAGTTGAAATTTGCTAAGACAGTAGATATTAACTGTTCTTACCACACACACCCAAAAGTAACTATGTGAGGTGGTAGATGTGTTAGTTTGATTGTGATAATCATTTCACAATGTATTCCTATGTATCAAATCATCATGTCATATACACTTTAACTGTATACAATTCTTATTTCTCAGTTACACCTCAGTAAAACTGGGGGAAAAAGTGTAAACATAATGGCTATATTATAATCTATCAAATCAATGGTTTCAAATAGCAATATTTGAAACTACTTTGATGTAAGTAGTCATTTCATTGCCTTTCTTTCTTCTTTAATTAGAATTGAATTCTCTTTTAATCAAATGTTACTGTTTTATTAAAAATATTTTTATGAATGTTTTCTAGGCAAGGTTTAATTTCATAATAGTCTTCTCAAGTAAAAGTATGTTGCTTACATAAGATTAGAGACTTCTTGTCCAAGTAAAATTGATCAACATAATAGACATGGAATCTGTAAATTCAATTATATGTCAAATGCACTAAGGTATATTTCTAGTTATTTCTAGTGATATACTTTATTTATTTATTTATTTATTTATTTACTTACTTATTTTTGAGACAGAGTTTTGCTCTGGTCGCCCAGGCTGGAGGGTAATGGCGCGGTCTTGGCTCACGGCAACCTCCACCTCCCAGGTTCAAGTGATTCTCCTGCCTCAGGCTCCTGAGTAGCTGGGATTACAGGTGCCCACCACCACGCCTGGCTAATTTTTGTATTTTTAGTAGCAACAGGGTTTCACCATGTTGGCCAGGCTGGTCTCAAACTCCTGACCTCAGGTGATCTTCCCCCCTTGACCTCCCAAAGTGCTGGGATTACAGGCACGAGCCTAGTGACATATTTTTATAACCTTTATAATTTACAAAGTATTTTTACACACTGCCATCAATTAAATCTCAAAAACGCCATTTTAAAAATGTGAAAACTGAGATTGAGAGTTAGGCGTTAATATTCATGACCAAAATCACTTGTCTGGTAATGACAGAGCCAGGAGCAGAACCCAAGACTTCTGGCCTTCATTCAGGTTCATGTTTTTCATATTGACTGATTTTCTTCCAAAGTTAAGAATTGTTGCCATATCTACCTCTAATTGTCTGAATATCTGAATTTCATTGTTTCAGTTTTTCTTACTTACTACTTTTAATTGAAGTATGTGCAAGTGAATCCATGAATGGCCAGAATTTAGGAGATGTACACACAGTTATCTTTATAAAGTCCATAGGACACTGAGAAACCTATGACTAACTCAGTCACTTCCCTATCACTGATCAATTTGAAGCATGATAGCGGCCTCAACTTTAAGTGGAATAAATAGGAGTTCTACAAAAACATTCATTAGAAAATCCTTCTAAAGTTTAATAGGAAAAATGAGATTAAACTTTCAAAGTTTAATAGGGAAGCAGCAAAAATACATTAGTCTACAAAAGTCTTGAATTTTTCTATTAATTAATAGTTGCTTAACTGGATTGTACGTGAATTTTTAAGATTACCATCAGTTGTTCTATATCTTTTATATATGTATATGCATATACATGTATATTTAATATTGTATAATATGATTATAATTATATAAATTGTAATACATATAAAATTACATATATACTATATGTAAATTATATATAAGATGTATATATATAATGACCAATGAGACCCTTAACTGAATACACACACACACACACACACACAAACACACGAAAAGATAAGCTGACATAAATTATAAAAGAATGAATTTTGTCACATACCAAAAAAATTCCTATAGGAATAGAACCCAACCATAAGAAAGGCCATTGTACAACTTTAAAAACTGATAAGGTACCTTAAATGACCCCCTTTCCCACCTCGGTGGGATTATTATTAATACTAGAAACTGAAGTCTAAACTGAATATCAATGTACATTTTAGCCTGTTGAAATAAACCAGAACAATTAATACTAATTATCCAGAACATAAGCAGTCTCAGTGACTGCATGGAGCCTGGTGTTACAACTGGCCTGTGTAACTTCCTAAGCAAACCTTAGCAGAGGCATTGCAGGCATTTGACCTCAGGGTTATACAGAGGATACAGAGGAGAAATTGTGAATATTTTCATATAGCTTTGAAAATAACATAATTTTATTGGGTTAACATAGAATATAATTCTTAATATTTTAGTTCTAGGACAAATTTTTAATCTTCATGGATTCTCAAAGCAAAATACATTATTTTACTTCTTTTGATTTTTAGGTTACTACAAAATCAACAGATCAAATTCTGGCCCTGAACTATCTGTTTAATGCTAACTGTTGTCAATTTAATCCTTTAGGTATGCTATATGCTATTAAATACTAATTACATTAGGGGAAAGAGGGGAGGATTATATAGATTACTGGTATTTTAAAAATAATAATTTTGCAGAAAAAGCTAATATCAACTTACTTTAAATCTTTGTCAAAAAACATTGTTTTAATCAAATTATTCTTGTAGACGGAATTGTATTTTTATGCAACATCATACTTAATGGGATATTTACCATCTCATATCATTCTCATATTAGTAACATCAAAGTTCAATGTAATGATGTATTAGCACAGGGAAATATTTCTAGCCTTATTATTTTTGATACAATTCCACAAGCAACTATGGAACACAACCACCATTTGTTCAGAAAGTATTTTCTGGAGGACAAACAACAGGTTTACATTTAATTGTTTATATTAGATTTTAAAATAAGCATTTTTTCTTGCTGAGATTATCTTCATCACAAAATTGAAGTTTTGTGTTTGAAGAGAGACATACTCCTAGGTAAGCATACCGTGTAATAATTATCTTGAAGAGTTTGCTTCTTTGTCTCTCAACTAATTAGTTGTTTCCTGTCAGAGTGTTGGGATGTGTCAAGTCCAACAAAATATTTGATCTTATTTCTATTCAAAATCATTTTGCAATCAAAATTAAGGAAAAAAGTCACTTACTTTGCTTTAGCTTCTGCATCTTCATATGCTTTATTAGAAACATCATCCAGCCCTCCAATCAAATGTTTAAAAGAGCTGTCAGACGAAAAAAGCACAGTGATTAATCTTCTACAAAATAGTAGCAATGGCAACCTAGTCAGTGATATAGTGAAACAATCTAAAGACATCTAAAGAAAAGTAAATTCAAACACTTAATCTAAGTACATTAATAAGAAGCATGTCAGACATTTTTCCTGACTAGAATATAAACTCTATGAAATTACCGACCTCTTCTACATTATTTGCCAATAGAGTTGCCAACACATAAACAAATCTGGCAACCATATCTGGCAAAAGCAGATGTTCAAATAATTGTTTGGAATAAAGTCTGTGACACACTAAATGATATACACCACAAAGTTAATCAGTCAATTAAAATACTGAAATGACAGCAAGATCTACCAATTATGGAGTGCCTCCTATATGCCAGGTACTGTTATTTAAATTACCAGTAACATATATTAATTACAATTCTCAAACAAATTCTGAAAAACAAGCATCATTATCTCCACTTAACAAAATAGTAAACTAAGGTTCACAGGCAAAATAAATATGAAGAATACAGGAAAACAAAAGGAGAAGATCACAGAAAAATTAACTCATTTTGGAAGAGTGAAAAATCAACTTTAGCATATAACAGGAGGAATGATTTAACTGCTTAAATCCAATCTATTCAATATCCTACTATGCACCTGGAACTGTATTCAGACTTCTATAGTGAAGCATCATCAATTGTGTCACTAAAATTGTAAATATTATAGCGCCAACACAAAATGAATACACACATGTATACCAGAATCGCCCTTGAAAATTACTGAATACAACCAGATACAGTAACTCTTACTGTACACTACATTCTAGCAACTACTGAACTGGAATGAAGGAAAGAAAAAAGTGAAAGTCTATACTCAGAAGTCCCAGGACCCACATGATAATCAGATCCTCACTTACATGGTACTCATATGCCAGGCATTGCTATAAGTGCTTTATATGTAATAACAAATACTTTAATAGTTCCAATGAGGTTTTTCAAAATAAAAGTTAATTCTTTTATTTTGAAATACTATGAGTTAGTATTATAATCTCTAATTATAATGGAGATAATTTTAAAATACTGTAAGAAATTACATTTCATTTTAATCCTCTGTCAGCTTAATACATGTAAATGGTTTGTGTGTTGTGAGTATTAAACAATAAGTTATGCATGGTCAGGTCCTGAAACATAGTAAGGTGCTTGCTGATTTAAAATGCAATGTTCCTTAATTGCTTTTACATATACTTTTTTATTTTGAAAAACTATAAAGAGGAACATGACATCCTTCTTGGGGTGGGTGGAGGGGAAGGGAGAAGCTGTTACTTCAGACCCTTGGGTAGTGAGCTCATCTAGAGTGCATGGTAACCAGAATGCTGAACCTAATACATGAACTATTTCTATACATAAAGGGACCCCAAAAAAGATTAGACAGAGACACGGGGAATCAAGAATCATATTCAAGAATATAAAGCTTTCTGTAATTAATTGTATTAATTCATTCCAAAAGAAATGATTGTTAAATAGACAAATAATAGGCAACAGTCTTTAGAAAGTTTTCAAAAGTATATTACCAGTGATAATAAATATAATTCCCACAGTTGAAAAATATGTTCAAATATTATTTTTGTCATTGTTCTTTATATGGTAAAATTTCCCACTTTCCCATAGAATGTCTTGGTCCTTACCTAAACTTAGAGGGAGTCCGAGTTTAGAGAATGTTAAGGCTAGACGCGTTCACAACATAAAGTATAATATTTCTTTTATTATAAATAGATAATATCTGGCTAATTTTCTGGGGGTTTTTTAGATAATAAGAAAACTCAAGCACAGTTTAAGTTCCTTGTCCAAGATGACTGCAATTCAGCAGCACGTCCACCACCAGAATGTATATTCCATAATGCTTCTGTCCTTTATATTTGGATATTTACAATACAACAAAATCCAAAACATTATGAAAAGGTATTGAAAGAGAAGAATCAAATAATATTATGTAGGAAAACCAAACAGCAATAATTACTAAAACTTAGTTTTTCAAATCCATTTCAATATATTAAGAGATTGTGTTATTAGGCATTTAAAACTCATAGTAATTCTGAGAGTTCAAGTAGTTTTTTTTAAAAAAATCCTGTCTTCCTTCTATTATCTATTTGAATTAAGGACACTTTAAACAGGATAGCGTATTACCAAAGAATTACAGAGTAAACTGATGATAAATTTGACAAGAATTAAAACTTTTAACTTAACAAATTCTGTTCAACCTACTAAGCTAGATTAAAACTCCACAAAATATTATTTTGAAAATACACTTTGAAATTCTTAGCAAAATATAATAAATGGAAAAGCATAGATATGGTTATGCTAGATGGAGTTTTAAAAGTAGAAACCATCTAATCATCCCAATGAGCTTAAAAATAAGTTGAGCTTGATTGGAAAAAAACACATTTTAAACCTCATAATATCATATCCAGTGACAAGTATCACATTAAAAAACAACGAACAAAAGTAGTATTTGAAGTATAACTTTCTTCAGGTCTTCTTAAGTGTCCTTGATTTAAAATATGAATGTTCTATGTTGTCCTAATGACCCAATATTTATTAATATTTCTTATGACTAGACAAAAGTGAGAAAATAATATGTACCTACAAAAGACCTGTAAAAATATTATAAAAACTATTTTTAAATTCAGTTCCCTATAAATTTCATTTGAAATGTAATTGATTTTTGATTATAAAAAAATTAAAACTGAATGGAGAAATTAAGAAATCACCCATAGGACTCTAACTACAAATGACTAGAGGAGGTATCTTTATATATTTCCTTTTACTTTTAATTTTTTTGCATAGCTTTATTGTTGTTCATACTTGTAATCTTCATCGCTATGATTTTTAACTTAATATTATAGCATAAGTATTTACTTTTATTTTGAAAAACTCCTTAAGCAATATTTTAGTAGCTGAATACATCACAGATACTCAAATACACACAGTTGAAGGAGGAGTTGGAGACCTTTTACACAAGTATCTTTATTCATACTCTATATTATAAATATATAGAATTTATTTTCAAAATAAAAATACTCAGAACTATAATCTTGGCATTTGGAATTGGAACCATGGGTCCTTAATAAATAATCTTTACTTAGAAGATGATCCTAGCCAAAAGAATACATTTTCTGAAACGTTAAACAAATGTGTCTTGCTGATAGATTCTAAGTCTCCTCAAACAATAAGTCAACCATTATACATAACCGGAAGTTTAAGAAAATATAGAATTTTCAAGTAATATTATTAAGTTCCAAATGACTGCCACTGTCTGCAGATCCCTGTACTGATCAATGAGTAATTTAAGACATCTTGATAAGCATAATTGATGGTGTTATAGAATTTATCACTCCTGGCACAAAAATGAACCAATTAGTGTTTCATTTTTCCTTCTCTCAGACACTCTGTAGGAACACCTGACATCTGTGTGAACCCTCATCAAATAGACATTCAGAAAAGTACTACTATAGGTATCAGATGCTTTTCTAAATAGTTACTCAGGTCCTATGACATTTCTTGACTAATGCCTTTTTTTGATTGTTATTCTATTCTGAAAATGATTATAATGAGATGTTGTGAAAACTCCAGCAACTGAATAAGTAGAAACCAGAAAATATTATTTATGAGTTTTAACAAATATAGGTGACTACAGAAAAATCATTAAATTATCTTTTTAAACAAACACAATTCATACACACGTTACATTTTAACATTGTAAAATAAAATACCAAATTTCTACATGCTAAACTTAATTTCGGAAGAAATTAAAGACATGTTACCGAGCAAATGGCTTTAGTTTAGGGCATCTCCACAGCAAACCTTTATGCATGCACATATTTCATTCAAAATTTTCTGTTACTTTTCTTGGGATAGAAAATCTGATTTTACAAGTCTTGACATAATACTTTAAGGAGCATGGGTAAAATATTATCAGTTGAGTACACAGATATTGAAAGAGAGCAAATGGGAAATCCCTTTCATGTTTAATGATGGTAGTTTAGACATACTTGTCAGGTGGGGAAGGAAAAGAAAGGAAAGAGGAAGGAAGAAGGAAGAACAAGGAAGGGAAGAAGGAAAGAGTGAAAGGTGGATGGAAAAAGGGAGACAGAAAGGGAGAAGAAACTATAACTCTTACACACTAAGAATGGTGACATTTAAAGAAATTGTCCTTAGGAATATCAGTTAAGAGGCTGTTTCTCATTTTAGAAAACGTGTCTGTTTTAGAAGTCAAGGATGACCGTAATTCAGTGGGTAATAAGTTTAGTTATTAAAATGTTTTCATTATTAAGGCAAAACATTCTTCTGAAGGGAGCTGATTACTCAATGGTATGTCTAAAAAGAATATAATTCGGTTCATCAGTTGTGATATAATGAGACTTCATCTAGACAGAAATGGTCTTTTAAATTATTAGAAAGGCAGTCCAAACATCAGAGATCAGCATTACCACTGCTAAAAAATCATAGCATTTAAAGTTTACTTTACAGGTTACAAAGTATCACATATATATACATATATATATATATATATATATATATATATATCAACTAACTCACACACAATATATATATGTATATATGTGTATATATACACAACATATATATGTGCATGTATATATATATATACTTGGTGTGTATATACAGTGTATGAGTTAGTTGATTTAATTCTCATGATCTCCTATCCCTTATTATGATATAGTGGCTTAGAATTTTGTATAAACATTTTAAAAATAGAATATTTTCAAATTAAAAATAGGGTGGGAGAAAGTCTCATAACATTCAAAACAGATTTTTTCTTTTTTACATTTAATAGTGAAATGTTATAAGTCAAAAAGTGTAAAAGGTAAAATCTTAAATTGGAAGCTATTTCAAACACTTCAATAATGCTAAGCAAAATGTTTGTCAGGTATTATCAGAATGCTTGGCTACGCCTTCTTAATTTCACAGGCTATACCGTTATGCTTTGTTAACCTGAATCTCATCTAAATCTTTTTAAAAAAATATTTATTTAAAAATGTAGAAAGTTAGTGTTCCAAAGTAGTTGAGACGTTTTACTTAGCTAAGCCCAAGGTTTCAGAGGGATCCTTCATTGTTTTGACACACTTATGCAGAAAATCCCTTGATTTACTTTGTGGCTTCAAGTGTTCTTATGTTTGTTATTTTTTGTTTATTTTATTTATAACGGGACAATCATAATTCTTAGCGGTTTATACTATCAACTATCATGTGAATATATGTTTCCTTGGAGAAAAAATTACCCCCAAATAAAATAAAACCAGCCACATCCATATTTTCCCAGTTATCCATCCATTTATTCATCCATCCATCCATCCATCCATCAGTCCATCCATTCAACCAAACTCACACATATGTACATATACAATACCTACTATCTATAAGGGACAATTCAAGCTACTGTGGATTATGCAAAAGGAATAAAGTACAACTTTGAGGAATTTAGAGCCTTATATTACAGATAAGACACAAAGACTTATAATACGAACGTGAGAAGTAATGAGTAGCTGAATGCTTATCAGAAGGAAGGCTATAGCGTGCATAAAAATAATTTCATCTACTCAAAATCATATCAGATAGTAATTTCATGGAAAGCAATTACATTTTTATGAGTAACTAACTAATTATTAGTATTTTCTTATCATGCACATGTTTATATTTGCAAGAGACACTTACACACACCAGAGTATTAGATGTTTGTCTGTGTCTTTGCTTTGTAATAATATCCCCCTGTCTATCATGGGGATTATTCACTAGAAAAATGGATTTCAAATAACAAACACTTCATTTAAACTGTTTCCTGATTATAATTATGTGCTTTAAAAGGTACCACCATTTGAAAATAATGATCCAATCTGGCATATGCACAAAGGAATAAAAAGCTAAGAATTAATTTCAGGAATTATCTCCTTTTACTTACTGTCACTTTTGAGAAATAAAAAAGTGACTTAGTGGTGATCAAGTTTCCATGTCTAATATGTCCATATAAATCAGTCTTTTCCAGGACAGGGTCTTGTTAAGTTGACTAGGCTTATTATAATAATCAAATGAAATCATCTAGTTTTGAATTTTAAAATTACGTGTGTGTGTGTGTGTGTGTGTGTCCAATGGCAATAGGTTAACAAATTGAAAGACACCAAAGAACTCTAAGGGATAAAAGATGTATTGTAATTTTACAATCTTGAGCTAAACGTTAACACTTTGGCATGTATCCTCCTTGATTTTTTTTCAGTTATTTCAAAGTTGAAATTGTATTGGTTTAGTACTTACTTGATTTTAGGCTGTCTGTGCTTATACTATAACCAACTTAATGGTTAAGTGTGGAAAACTATCCAGTCAAGCATGTAGGACACGCCTGGTTACATAGAAATATCCAATATGAAATGACTAAACTTCTCGATTTTTTTGTTTATTTGCTTATCTAGTAATTCTACTGTTGAAATATTGGTGACAAACATTAGCTTAAGATTTTATTTTTAACTCTTTCTCACTTTTAATCCTTAACTGTTAAGAATATATACATATTTTTGGTATGGATGTAGTGAAAAGGGAACACTTACATTCCTAGTGGGAAGGTAAACTAGTATAACCACTATGGAAAATAGTATGGAGATTCCTTAAAAAATTAAAAGTAGAACTTTTAAAGTAGTACTGGGATTTCAGTGCAGCAATCCCAGTACTGTATATCTACCCAAAGGAAAAGAGGTCATTATATGAAAAAGACACTTGCACATGCATGTTTGTAACCGCACAATTCACAATTGCAAAAATATGGAACCAACCTAAACGTCCATCAGCCAATGAGTGGATAAAGAAAATGTGGTATATATACACCATGGAATACTACTCAGCCATAAAAAAATGAAATAATGACATTTACAGCAACTTGGATGGAGTCAAAGACCATTATTCTAAGTGAGGTAACTCAGGAAAGGAAAGCCAAATATCATGTCTCACTTATAGTTGGGAGCTAAGCTATGAGAATGCAAAGGCATAAGAATGACATAAGGCACTTTGGGGACTCAGGGGAGAAGGGTGGAAGTGGGGTGGGAGATAAAAGACTACGTACTGGGTACAGTGTACGCTATTAGGGTGATGGGTGCACCAAAATCTCAGAAATCACCGCTAAAGAACTTACCCATGTAACCAAAAACCACCTGTACTCCAAAAATATTGAAATAAAAAGGAATATATGCATCTTAATAAAGGGTGTAAAAAGAGAAACACTGTTTTAAAAAGAAGTGTTTTGAGATTTTCCTACACACAATTTTGATATTATAAATATTCTATCTTAAATATTTATATACAAGTTTCCTATATATGATTCACCCTTTTCTAAGGATGACTGAATTCACAATCTTTTTGTAGAGTAGTGCTACTCAAAGTATAGTTGGCCCACTATTTGTTGCTAGTCTGTAAAGACATAAGCACAGAAGTTTAGGAACTTTTCTAGCAATTTGACAATGCTGAGACATCCAAGCGCAAGATCAGTGGACTTGTGTTTTTGAACAGGGTACAGATTTCTGTTACTGTCAAATCCATAAGGTGAGAAACATTTGGTAAAAGCTGCATACAAGTCATGAGTAAGAGGGTATTATTAAATGTGTGCTATTTTAAGATTAGTTTGCTAATTTTAACCTAAAGTATATAAATTCAGAATCTATTTATCTTATCAAAAGATAATCAAAATTTAACCATACTTTACAGGAGCAATTGATAGAACTAGCTACTAATGAAGGATTAACTAAAATAGAACATCACTTGTTCCATTTTGAATAAAAATAAAAATGAAGGCCAGGCACAGTGGCTCACGCCTGCAATCCCAGCACTTTGGGAGGCCAAGACGGGTGGATCACTTGAGGTCAGGAGTTCGAGACCAGCCTGACCAACATGGATAAAGCCCTTCTCTACTAGAAATACAAAATTAGTCAGGCATGGTAGTCCATGCCTGTAATCCCAGCTACTCAGGAGGCTGAGGCAGGAGAATCACTTGAACCCGGGAGGCGGAGGTTGCAGTGAGCCGAGATCATGCCATTGCACTCCAGCCTGGGCAACAAGAGCGAAACTCCATCTCAAAATAAATGAATGAATAAATAAATAAATAAAAATAAATTTTTGCAGTATGCTGATACTACTTTAAAATCACTTCTTCTGTTCCCGTCAGTTCTACTCTGTGAGACTGGTTTCTCTATTCTGAGTGTATTAAACAAAACATAAAACAGCTAAAGAACACATTACTCCCTGCAAGTGGCATTTCCATCATCCATCTAACCTAGATCAAAAAAGTTAACAATCAAGAAACAGGCACATTTGACACATTAAAGACTAGACAGTGAAATCCACAGTGTTCTTTCAAAGTGTACCAATTGCAGTCAGAATGGAGAATTGCTATTTCACTCATAAATTGTGGTTTTGTTATGATGGTAGACAAGTATAATAG
Source organism: Homo sapiens (assembly GCF_000001405.40). Taxonomy (NCBI): domain Eukaryota; kingdom Metazoa; phylum Chordata; class Mammalia; order Primates; family Hominidae; genus Homo; species Homo sapiens. Next base: position 52,153,396 of record NC_000010.11, on the reverse strand, counting down.
CCATTATCTTCCTTATTACTTGTACACATGCTTTCAATGACAATGTGATTAATTGGGGCAATTTTTTTCCTTTTATCTGGCATTATGTTTGTTCTAATATTTTTATTGAAATAGGATTTTATGTATGCTGAATATAATAGGAAAAAAGAGTGGCATTTATTTCTATGCTTTTTTTCACTTGTATTTTTCTAGCAATTCATTTGTATTTTGTTTTACAAAAACATCTGTCCACAATGGATGGGCTGAAAATAAAAACAAAACTGGTCCTTAAGCACAGATCCTTGGAAAAGCACTGTCCTAGACCACTCACTTTCTCTCTCACCCCCACCTATATGCCTCTTTCTGAATCCTATCTGATACCTTGTGGTTGCTTTTCAGAGCATATTGCAGAGTTCTGGAATTGTTAGTTTTTGGTCAGTCTCCTTCTCTATAAACTGAGCTATTTAATGTCCACGTTTACAGATACTCTTTAATGTCCTGGCCCTTTCCAAAAACATTTGCTGACTCCTGTTCTAGATTGTCCTCTTCCTTCCTCTGTATCTAATCCAACACCAAATCCTGTATATTCTAACTTCAATAATCTGAAATGAATCCCCTCTTCTATATTATCTTTGGGTCTCAACTGCCATTTTCTCACTGAAGAATTCTGTAACTGCCTTTTCCTTTATTTCCTCTCTCATCCTTACACAGTAAGCAGAGTAATCTTTTAAAAACATAAATCAGATCGTGTCACTCTTCTGCTGACCTCTACAACTTCTCTGAATTATCCCATGCTACATTTGACCATAGAATACTTCACGCATCTGCCTCAGGGCCTTTGTCTTCTGCCTGGAACATTCTTTCTCTAGATTTTCATGGTTTTTTCTCAGTACCATTCAGGTCTCAGCTCAATTGTTTCCTCTTTATACAGGACTGACCAACCCATGCAAAGTAGCCTTCACTCAAAATCCTTCCTAATGTCACTCTGTGATTTTAACTCATTTTCACTCACCACTAGCTAAAAATCACTTTGTTTGTTTAAATATCTGCTGTCTTCCTCATGCCAAAATGTACATTTCATGAGATCAGGCACCTAGTCTAGCTTCTTTATCAGTATCTCTATTTAGGAACTAGAGTATTTCCTGGCCTGTAATAGAAATTTAAAATGAATTAATAAATAGCTGGATGGACTCGCTCAACCACTTACTCATTTATTCATTTGGGTATATGTATGTGCCCAGGATATGACTAGCAAACTCTTAAGTTTCTGAAGCAAAGTTTTATTTAAAATTTAAGATATATGAGTTAAAAGTCCTCTGTATGTCTTAGGGTATCCACCTATATGAACTCTTAGGACAAAGGCTTAGTTAAAATGAATGCCTAGCATCCTAATACAGCAATACATTGGTATAAATACGGGTAAAGTGATTTGAAACACTTAGCAATTTAACATTGAATTATATAGAGGACATTAAATGAGGGTAATTATTTTAGACCATAATGAAATTTATATCCATGAATCCCAATTGCAATTAAAGTGGAAGAAAGGATTTTAAAATGTAGCATGACTTTCATTTTCAATTAAAAGCAGGAGAAATTAGAATCAAATCTCAGGTGATAGTTCTTAGCCTTTTCAGTGTTTAGGAGGAAAATATAAGAATAGATTGCCCTAATGTGCCCAGTCTATATGTTTCCTTTTCCTTAAAAATAAATATCTCTCAACTATACTTAAATCAAATGGTCCATGCAATGGACATACTTTTTGTGGCTGGACAATTATTTTAAGTGTTAGCAACTCTCTTTACCTTACTATATAAAATCCATACTAACAAAAGTAGATATTACACATTACTCTTCCTATCACTGCTTTTCTGGACCAGATTACACTGTTTTGACATGAAAACCAATGATAAGTTTCACATATGTTTAATTAATTTCATCAAAATAATATACTTTCCCAATGGAAACAAACTATCAATACTAAATTAATTTTTTCATAACACTGTAAATTCTCAATTTTAAGACCATTTTGTGATAGAATTATGTAGAAGCAAATGTGAATTTTTTCTCCAAATTTTGGTATTCTCAAAGCAGAATCTATGGCAACAATGAGCGTCTTATCTATTAAAAAATTTTCAGAAGGAAAAAACCGACACTAGGGCCCACCCGAGGGTGAAAGGTGAGAGGAGGGTGAGCAGCAGAAAAAAATAACTATTGGGTACTAGGCCCTTAGTACCTGAGTACAAAATAGTCTACACACCAAACCCGCATGACACAAGTTTACCTATATAACAAAACTGCACATGTACCCTAAAACCTAAAAGAAATGTTTTTAAAAATTTCAGGCTCCTCTACTTACAAATTATTTAAAATTTACAAATTCGTATAATTGGCAAAAAAATCCTATCAAAATTGTCTAAAAACAAATAGGCCATATTTATTAAAAACAATAAAAATCTATAGCTGATATATTCTAGTTTATATAGACATATCAATTATAGTAGATATCAGTTACAACAATCCACTTTTTAGTAACTGACTATTTAAAAACTGCTTCTGGGAAACTCTGGCTAAGAAAAATATCTTGGGAATGCAAATACTATGATAGTCACTGATTTTCTATTAAGCAACTTGAAAGTGAAATCCTAAAATGGCATAATAAATCTATCCCAAGGTATCTGTTTTAGTAGACTTTTTGTTATTTATGCTGTGAAACTCCTTGAAACAAAGACATTAGTTTAACATTTTTATAAATATCAATCAATTACTGGACTTTTTATTTCTGCTCTCATTACATGATTAGAAAGGGAAATACATACTTTTCCCAAAAAATAATTAGAAGCTTACCAATGAATGCATCCCTTTATGTCACAAATTAATGTTTATATAACTTAGCAATATAAAAATTTCAAATAAAACATGAAAATACTAGCTAGCATGTATTAGGATTGTACAAACTATTTTACATGGATGTTCCCTGTTTTACAGGTAAGGTGATCAAGGCTAAGAAAATTAAGTAATTTGCTCGAGGTCACATGTCTAGTAAGTGTCAACACTGGGATTTGAACCAAGGCAACCTGTTTCCAACATCTGCAATCCCAGCCGTAATTGGCACCATATTTATCTCCCCAATATGGAAATCTGAGGTGATCTAGTTAATAGTTGTGTCTAAGATTTGGTATTAAATATCTGCTTTCTCTCTCTCTCAAATCCTGCCCTTATGGCCAATCAAATTATTATTATTATTATTATTATTATTATTATTATTTTGAGATGGAGTCTTGCTCTGTTGCCCAGGCTGGAGTGCAGTGGGGTGATCTTGGCTCACTGCAACCTCCACCTCCTGGGTTTAAGCAATTTTCCTGTCTCAGCCTCCTGAGTTGCTGGGATTACAGGCACCCACCACCATGCCCAGCTAAGTTTTGTATTTTTAGTACAGACAAGGTTTCACCATGTTGGCCAGGCTGGTCTTGAACTCCTGACCTCAAGTGATTCCACCCACCTTGGCCTCCCAAAGTGCTGGGATAAGTGGCATGAGCCATCACAGCCGGCCAAGATTCCTTAAGATAAATAATTTTTATTTCAATAGGTCACCTCTTTCTCCTATTGTATTATGTGTATAAAAGTTCCATTTAGGGAAGTAATTAGTCCCCTGAGGCTGCCATAACAAAATGCCACAGACTGGGTGGCTTAAAGAACAGAAATTTATCTTCCCACCATTCTGGAGGCTGGAAGTCCACGATCAAGGAGCCACCAGGTTTGGTTTCTGGTGAGTTATTTTGTCCTGCCTTTGGCTAACAGGCCCCTACTCACGGCATCCTCACATGGCCTTTCCTCTGCATGTGCGCCCTGTTGGTGTCTTTTCCTGGCTTCCAAGGACTCCAGTCCCACAGGTTTAGGGCCCCACCCTTATGACCTCATTTAACCTTAATTATTATACCTTTTGAAAGGCCCTGTCTCAAAATACAGTCACATTGGGGGTTAGAACTTCAACATATGGATTTGGGGTGGACATAATTCAGTCCTTAATAGGAAGTCTAATGAGGGAACACCAATGGCAGTCTAGACAATACATTTTCTTGTGTATTTGGGCTATTTAATATGATTTTCATTTGTAATTTTTGAAAGGTTCATAAAAAGAACTCAGCTTTTTATGAACCTTTCAAAAGCTACAAATGAAAATCTTATTAAATAGATTTGCATTTTTTCCCTGGACTTCAAGTGCAGTGACATTATCATCGTACTTTTCTGCCATAGGAAGTACCCCATGTTTTTTCTAAAACAAGTCTCCTTTTCATTGCTACTAATCACAGAGGCTTTCATCTTTCTCCTCTGGACTCTTGCTCCATCAATTACAATCTTTCTTATTGTTTTGTTGTTTCCCTTTTGACTTTTCTTTCTTTTCAGTCTAAACAGGATGTTCTTTCCAAACCTAAAAAAAAAAAAAAAAAAAAAAAAAAGCAAAACTATCCTCTGTGGTCAAATAGTCAGTGTGAAGAAGCTGCTTTTCCTATGTCTTATCCTCATTTTTCATTAATTCTCAGCCTATTGCTGCCTGGAATTCTATTCCCATCTTTCTTTCACCCTTATTACAACTTTTCCCTCAAAGTTATCACGACTCTGCTAACCATTCACCCCAGTGGTCTCTTTCCAGGTCCCATCCTCGGTGAGCTATCTGAGGTTCAGGGTCCTGCTCGCCTTCTTCCCTGGTTGCAGTCATGCAATAGACGCTCATGGCACTCCACTAAGGGGCTCTGTGCTGATCACTGATGCCCCACTTTCCCGATTCTTCTCTTCTCCCTCTATGCTACCTTTCAGTATATGTGACACACATTTCTTCCTCTGACATTTCTTAAAGGTAAATGGTTTCCCAAATTGTGTCCTTTGCCTTTTTTTTTCTATTCAATATATTAAATTTGTTTTCTTAAATATTTCTTGTTTAAGATATGTTCAGTTTTGTTTTTTACCTTCATGATCTCATTGAAACCTCACAACATCTCTACAAGGTAAGTACAGTTATCTCTGCTTTATAGAATACTTACAGCACGGTTTCTCAAACTCAGAGCTACTGACATTTTGGACAAGATACTTCTTTGTTTTAGGGAGCTGTCCTGTGCATTGTAGGATGGTTAACAGCATCCCTGAACCCTGCCCACTAAGATAACAGTAGCAAACCCAGTTGTGACAACAAAAAATGTCTCCAGGCATTGCCAATGTTACCTAGATGAGAATACATAAGTGACAAGGCTAAGAGAGGTTACATAAACTTGCCTGGGACCACATAGCTGGAAAGTGATCTAGAATTTGATCCCAGGAGTCTGATTTTTATTAGAACTTAGTTCTTACATAGTACACTGATTTAAGTTTTCCCATAAAATAATATTTAACCTTAAGACTTCAGTTCAGATCCCCAGGCCGATGACCTTCAAATCTATATCCGTATCCTTGAACTCTCCGGATACATATTGTCATCATTTTTCTCAGTGTCATATGCATGTCTCACCTGTACCTCAAGCTCAACCTAACCATAACTGTATTAACCAGCTTCCATCCAGACTTGCTGTTAGGTTTTCTGACTTTCTAATGGCATTATCACCTACCAATAATTCAGGATAGAAATCTTGGTGTTATCTATGACCTTTCCCTTTTACCCAAGCCCATCCGGTCTACCTTTGCAATCTCTCTTGAATTTGTTCCTCTTTTTCCTTTCTACTTCTACTGCCTTATTCAGGTTATTGACATTCTTACTTCAGAAGCATCCTCTGTTTCGCTGCCTTTAATCTCTCCCACCCTACTCTTTCCCCAAACACAACCACGCTTTCCAGTTACCACTTACTTTGTTGGTATAAAAGCAAGAGTTGGTATAATTGGCAGAGCATGGTCTTAGTGCAGACAGGCCTGGAATTCCAATACAGCAATGTAACTCTGACCAAGTCACTGGGTCTTTCTGATCATTAATTTCTCTCTGAAACTGTTTTTGTTTTCTGGTCCCATGGGGCTATTGTGGGGATTAGCTGACATGAGTGTATTAAAACAAAAACATCATATTTGGATGCTGAGAAAATTTATAAATTAGCTTGTGTGAACTCTTCCTTTCTTTTCCACCACTGACCACAATCTATATCATCTATAAACTGGGATCTTCTCAAGTCATAATGTTTTGTTCCTATGTAAGTTATTACTTGGATAATTTCCATTTTTCTTTTGTCTACCCTTTCTTTAGGTACCTTGTTGGCCTTTACTATTTACTTTTGACATTTCAGAGGAAGTTTATTTGAGCTCATTTCTACTCCCAGTTTTCTGAAGTCTCAGATTTGTTTATTCTTTTCCAGAACAAAGAAGCAATCACTAAAGAATGAACAATCTTCCAGATTCTGTCCATAATTAAGTTCCATGTCTCAACTGCAAGAAAAGAACAAATGTCAAACTAACTCTTTTAGGACGGTGATGTAACTAATGCCTTGGGCTGATTCACCCCAGTCATGTTGTTTCAACCAAAAACTTAAGCTGGCGAGGGTGCAGTGGAACAGATGTTCTCATATATTGTCACTGGAGAGTAAACTGTATAATGATTCTAGGCAATAATTTAAAAAATACATATCCTTTGAATCAGTAATTCTAATACTGCATATTTCTAAAACAGGGGTAAAGTTTAACACAGAGAATTCTTTACAAAATAAAAAATTAAAATGAGCTTAAATGCCCAAGCACAGTCAAGAAACTATGACAAAGAAACTCAATTATACATGAAGTGTTTTTATTAACATGGTAAATTGCTAATGCAACGTGGTAAAGTATGTGCTATAATAGGCTTTGAAAATAGAATTATACTCAAATACCATTTCTTTACTTACAAGCTGTGTGTTTTGCAACCTGACAGTTTGGCTATGTGAAGCTTAGTTTACCTTTGAAATGGAGAAAAAAAAGAATTCCTTGCAAGTTTGCTGTGAGAAAAATTAATGACTATTTATCTATAGTACATCTAGCATCTATGTGTATATATTAATATCTCTATCTGTGTGTATGTGATTTATTAATGCTGCCCCAGGATGTAGACAACGCAGGAGAAAAATATCTAGGCAGAATTATCTCACTATTTAAGGACACGAAATTATCAACAGTAATTCCCTTTGAATGGTAGGGTTATATTTATATGTCTCTATGCTTTCCAATCTTTCTAAAACAAACAGTTATTACATTTATAATCATATGACATAGACTATATTAGAAAGGTAAAAAAAGAGAGAAGATTTAAAGTGAACCCCATGGGAATAATGAAAAATAATTAAATAAAATGTTATTCAGCCCAAGTGGGTTTCTTGTCTAGATGACAATGTACTGTCTCCAGTGCAGCTAGGAGGACAACACCCTTCTTGCCTATTAAAGGCAAATCATGATTTGCCTTTGCTAGTCTGGCTTTCCATTTAAAACTAATTCAATTATATGACTGTAGCAAAGCAATGGCTAATATGATCATTGTACTTTATGCAAAGAAGTAAATTCTAAAAAGGCCTCCTTTGTAAACACAGCTGTCTGGGAATGAAGTTTCACTGTTATTGTGGCTGATGCTAATCCAATTCATACATCCATGCTATGAGTTCCAAAACGAGTACCAACTGCTAGACATATTGAAAAGAAAAGAAAAGTCTTAGATCTTTATGACCCAGCTGGGCCTGTAATAACTGTCTCACCAGGCAAGTGTGAATACTAAAGTAAGCAAAACCATTTAACTCCACCAAAAAAGTGCTGTGGATGTCTAAAGCAGAATTCAACTCTCAAACTTCATGACTATACAGTGAATTTTTAAACTGATTGCTAAGCTTCTGTCAGAAATAAATCCTGGTGCCCTCCACCTCCCTGGTTTACCTCTGGAACACAAGAAGCATTATAACGTCTCCTCAAATAAACAGCCAAATGTTGTACATAAAAAAGGTAAAGAGATTTTCAAATATAAAATTTCAAATATTATCTTTTTAACTGAAGAAATTAAGATGGATATTTATGATTTAGAAACTGAAATCTTTTATATTTTCTTATTCACTCATACAACTTGTTTATGAGTTCCGAAGACATTGTGAATTTCTAAATAACAAGTTTTATAACATCCAATGGACAAAAATGCAAGTCTTAGAAATATAGTAAGGTTTCAAGCATTTACTGGAAAAAAATGAATTATTTATTCATTGGTGCAAAACAAAACAATAACTGTAATTAACGTAATCAAAGCTGTGATTATTATATTTTTAAAATAATTATGAACTCCAACATCAATTTCCATTCATCATCTGATTGTAAAAAGTAAAACAAAACAAAACTCACATTTCTAACTGCCAATGGACATCTGCTGACTATCTGCATATCACTTAGGCAGCCTGAGCTTGCAATATCCGTAACTGAATCAGCCAGTTACTTCCATCTCAACCTGCTCTGTCTTGTTCTATTCTTTATCTATTACATACATCTATTATTTTTTCTTTATTTATTAAATACATCCAAGTCTCCTAAACTAGAAACATTTCCCTTTCATCCCTCACATTTAATTATTAATAAAAATCTACTTTAGACTAAAGTTTATTTATTTTTATTTTTATTTTTGTGTCTTGAGCCAGAGTCTGCTCGGTCGCCCAGGGTGGAGTACAGTGATGCGATCTCAGCTCACTGCAACCTCCACCTCCTGGGTTCAAGCAATTCTCCTGCCTCAGCTTCCCAAGTAGCTGGGACTACAGGTGTGTGCCACCATGCTAGGCTAAGGCTAATTTTTGTATTTTTGGTTGAGACAGGGTTTCACCATGTTGGCCAGGCTGGTCTCGAACTCCTGACCTCAAGTGATCCACCTGCCTTGGCCTCCCAAAGTGCTGGGATTACAGGCATGAGCCACTGTGCCTGGCCCTAGACTAAAGTTAAGGCTCTTAAGCTCTAATGAACATCCTTTAGGACTACTGCAGCAGTATCTTAAAAGTCTGCCTGTTTGAGTTCCTCCCCATTGTAATTAATCTGCTACTCTCTTCCTTCGAAAACAGATACAAAATACAGTTCCAATGGTTCTCTGTTGGTTTCTTATTGCCCCCAAAATAAATCTAGATTATTTTAGTTTGAGATACTAGGATATTTATTTACTATCTATCCCCATCTCTTCTTTCCAAACACATCTTCCAGCTTTCCTCCTAATTATCCAGTTCCTTGTCCCATAAATCCTCTGTTATTGCCACACTCCCCTTATTACTGTACAAAGGTCTTTCTAAATTCCTTGTCTTCTATACAGGTCCTTCCCTCAGCAGTAGCTGTCTTTACCCTTCCTTCCTCACTTGTAATATACCTACTCAAACTTAACAACTTGGCTCTCATGTTATAGTGTCCAGGAAGTTCTGGGATGCTACCAGCCAAACATATTCCTCCATCCTCAATGTTCCCCAAGTATTTTATTCTTACTCAAAATGCAGTTTCTCATGCTGATTTTTGAATGCATCTGTTTGGACCAAGAGTTAATCCAAAGAAGGAGAAGACTTTGCTATTCACCTTTATATCTCTGGATCCCAGAATAGGATTTGGTTTGGAATCTGTATGGATAATTGATTTATTCCCTCTCAGTCCAAAATTTACTCTTTTAACTGCTCTGTAAAAGTGGATCGGGTTGACTGGCACTGAAACTTTGTTGGCAGAAGGTATTGGGGAGATACTTCAAGGACAAAAGGGTTCAGCTTCCTGGTTCCAGTGTTCTTGGTAGGCTCTTGAGGTTTCTCTTGTGTCTGGCTACTACAGTACATGGCAGCCAGCAGCTTCCCCAGCGGACTTCCCCTCAGGTGGTTTTAAAGCTCTCCCTTTACAGAGCTTTCCTGCACCCTACAGTGCAGATTCCTGGCACAAGTTCTATTGGCTTGGCATCACAGAGACTTCACTGACATCCAGTAAGTAATGACTATATCCTTCCTAACAGGGGGTGATTTTCACCCCACAGGAGACATTTGGCAATGCTTGCTCAGGGCATGCTTTTGAATGTCACACTGGAGAGGTGAGGGATACTACTATTTAGTGGGTAGAGGTCAGGATGCTGCCAAACATCCTACTTTGTACATGACAGCCCCGCCCCCGCAACACAAAACAACTATCTGACCCCAAATGTCAATAGTGGTGTGCTTCAGGGACCCTGCTCTATAACAAGGTGTAACTCTCAGCCTCAGCAGGGTGGAATGGGGAAGGCTGGGGGGTGGCAAGAAGGGAGGTGTCTTCACTGGGTGCTCTCTCTCACAGGAGTAGTGTTAGTGAATACTCCTTATAGCTGCTATTTCTATATGTTCTAAAGCTTTCTTTGCTTCTTACTTGGTAATCCCTTATTATTCCAGTCCCCTATTATAGTTACTATTTTTTTTTATCATAACACTTTGCTGCTCAAATTACTATATGCTGATTAGATTCAGACTAATATGGCATCATCCATTCATTCATTCGTTCATTTCAATAGATAGTAGGTGCTTATTATATTTCCTGATACTGTGCTAATTGTGGATACAGTAGTGAACCAAATAAACATAGTCCTGTCCTCCTTAAGCTTGTAGTTTGTAAGTTAATACAGATAAACGAGTGTTGTAAATGTATGGTATGGCAAGTAAAAGGACGGTACAATGAAAATCAACAGGCGAACCAAAGCTGTTATGGGATGTGAGGGGAGTGAGCTAGTAAGGGCCCACATGTTTTTAATGAAATAAATTTATTAGCTGAATTGATAAAATTGTCATTTAAATTCTAATTCCAAATATTTAGCCAGGATGATGGAGATGTGACTCGTGAGGTTCTTATCCATTTGAAGAGTCATTTGGAACTCAAATATTTTACCACTGATCGATTGATCTATATATTGAGAGATATCTATAAAGATCCATATATCTATATATATTTAGAAGTAGTGTAATTAGATTAAGATTTAATTCAATGAAAATATTTTAGTTCAATTCATAAGCCATCAATTCCTCTTTTTCAGGTGGACTATCATACGATTTATTCATTTTCATGACTCCAAGATTCTTGAAGGAAACTCTTTTTAGACATCCCTATATATCATAGCACTGAGCATAAAACCCACTTGATACTCTCAGTATGTGCTTATTGAATTAATAAATGTATGAGTTTTCTATCTTAGTCATTTACAGAATAATGTGGGGTAGGTGAAAAATCACTGAAACAGATGTTATGAGGCCTGTGCTGTAATCCCACCCTTAACATTAAAGAGCTTGGACAATCCACACTCCTTCTGGGACTCGCCTTCCTCATTTTTAAACTAAAGGATTCGGAAAAGAGGTTTTTCAAACCCTCATTATTTTCTAAAATCCTGAGATATAACAAATGCATTATAGTGTAAGAATGTGAATACCCGATCTGTCTTAATTCTTATTAAACAGTGTGATTTGAGTATACCTGACACTTCTGGGACTCAAATTCTTCAACTGTGAAATAAGTTTATTTATAAAAGGGGTTAGAAAACTATGGCCCTTGGGTGAAATGGCATTGAGTTTTCATGCCACAGACTGTTTGGCCCACAAAGCTGAAAATATTTATTGTTTGGCCTTTTCTAAAAAACGCTTGGTAAGCTCTGGTTTGTATGTTCCCTTTTACTTCTCCTTCTTAAATCTCTTCTATGACTTTCTGACTTATCCACTTACCATATACATTTTTTAACAATAATTTCTTAAGTGTGTTAAATTTTGATTGATGGCCCACCAGCATATTAAAAATTGAGACTGGACTTCTTTTACTTTGAGCAGAGTCAAAAGGTTACTAAAGAGAACCTTTGTAAGTTTGTGGCTTAACAGATTATTGCTGGAAACTATCCATATAACAGAGATGGAAATAAGCATATAATATTTAAATATTTGCCTTTAAACCCCCAAATACTAGATGTCTGGATGGTTCACATATGGCAGGTAACCAGTAAGCTCTGGTTGGGTGGATGAACCAACAGTCTGGGCATCCCAGTCAGTCATGCTGTATATCATTGCTATAAGGACTTGAAATAGGATGAATGTCTATTACCATTTCAAAGCCAGGCAAACATGAGGAGTTGTCTCAACTGTCTCTTTCCATGACTTTAAACCACAAATGTTGTCTCAGGGTATACTCCTTTTCGAATGAGAATGTACTTATTTTGTAGTTAGATCATGCTTGTTCAGGGCATGCTATAATTCAACCCACATCATTAAATTGAATGAATATAATGTTACTCTTTCTTCTAAACCTCTAGATTTTATCTTTCCTGCTTAATACACATTTTTTGAGAAGCACACCAGTCAATAACAGCTCTGTAAAAAAAGACAAGTTCAAATAATTGCAGCTGACACCATTCTAAAAAGGCACATTTGTTTTCCTGTGACCATCCTGCCAATATCCTCACATCACCCTAGATTTTATTCTGGAAAATGAACCAAAATAAAATCCACTTAGGCTGTAGGAAAGGCTGAGGCTGTGAAATATTTTAAGTGTATCATCCTATTAGTTAAGCAATGTGACAACGGGCGATGTGACATGTGGAGTTCATACAGTCCTATCATGTGGACACAGAGTGACAAGCTATATAAGAAGAAGAATACAGGTGACCTCGGTGGGCAAATCACCATTGGGTGCATGTTCCTTCCTGAGACTGACCTAGTTGGTGATCTTAGAGTGGTGCCTGCAAGGGTTTGCTGTCCCCAAATCTCCCCTCTACTTTCCCTCTTCTCTCCCCCAATGGCACCTGACATTCTGAAAGATTCTTCTGGATTTTCACGATTTGTCATTCCTCAGGGGTATGTTATCATAATGCAAATAACTATTGCAGAGAACCATTTTAATCTCTAATTAGTTAGCTATTACCAAATTGATGCAAAATCTGAAGCAAACTTCTAGAGAATGCAAGAGTGGAATTAAGAGGTGCAGGAATCAACTATAAAAAGAGGTGTGTGCATGGGGAGTGGAGTGGGATGGGGATACAATGCGAAAGAGTTACAGAAGATGTGTACAGAAGAGTGAAGTGAAGAAATTGAGGGGATGGAGTAAAGCATGCCTGCCAGTGTTTGGAAGACAAACAGACAGATGGCATCAGGAGGAGCAGCACTGGAAGACACCATGGGCAGTGCTGATCAGACGCTTCAAATCAGTTCTTTTTATGTATTTGCTTTATTTTAAAAAGCTGAATACAGGATGGAGAAAAACTGGAGCAGGACAACTACGGATAGCCCTCCACTTTCTAATATTGTTTAAGTCAGGGGTCAAGAAATTATGGCCAACAGGCCAAATTCTGTCAGCTGCTTATTTTCGGTATGGTCATGAGATAAGAATGATTTTTACATGTTTTAATGATGAGAACTAAATCAAATGCTGAATAATACTTCTTGACATAAGAAAATGATATAAATTCAAATGTCAATGTCCATAAATAAAGCTTTATTGAAACACATCTGTCTTCATTCATTTACATATCATCTTTAGTTACTTTTGCACTGCAAAGACAGAGTTGAGTAGCTGCAACAAAGGTAATTTGTCCCATGAGCCTAAAATATTTACTATTTGGCTCTTTACAGAAAAAGTTTGCCAACCCCTTGTCCGAGTCATGTAGTTCTATAATAGAGTCATGCCTGGAGACCCCACTCAGAAGATAAAACTCCCACACTTAATGCAACCTACCAGGCAGTTTAGTGATCACCTATTCTACCTTGAGTATGCACCTTGGTGAGCTTTACCCCCCAATCCCAAGTTGCTTATCAGAAACACCAATAGCACCTCCCTGAGAAGAGTTACATAAATACTATTTTCTCCACATATTTCTATCCCATTTGGCACTCTGGGTTCCAATGGCCATGCAGGTTCCTGCATGGCTGGTTCACTGTGTGATCTTCCTATCCCAGAGCATGGATTCAGTATTTCTGTTTCTTTGCCCCTGGAACTTGGAGTTGAATATCTGAATAAACGCAGTAACAGGAAATGGAGGAAGACACAAACTCACCGTAAGCAATGCGGCTGGGAGGAGATTGAGATAGAGACCAGCATCAGAAGCTGTATCCTTGGGGACTGATGCTGTTGTGGCTAAAGAGTTACAAACGAGTTCTAAACAGAGGCTACATGTGGAAGGCACTGAGGTTTTCCTACTAGTACTGGTAAAGGAACAAAAAACCATTTTAATACAGACACCAATTTGTCTCTAATTGAGCTGGTTCTATACATATATTCAGTTTTCAAACCTATTTTGAATTTGTGTCTTGTTCATCTCAGTATCCCAGTACCTGACACAGGAATCAGACATTCCTTGTTATCTTTCTCTATAAATAAATATAAAAATTGCCTAGTCTAGCTCTAATGCCAAATCTATTAAAACATACCCAGTTTTAATACTTAGGCTCCAGTCTGGGTGTCAAGGAATAGTCTTTAGTTTGCCAACTCCAGTGACGTTTTTCTCTGTGTCTAATCCTCTTCAGTAATATATTTGCTACTTTATTATTTATGGACCTTGGGATCAACCTTGATCTTATGAGTTGCTCCCCAATTATGGTGAGAGTCTTGGTACATTTTTAAATATATGGCATGAATATATCAGGTGACTATAGTTTGGGGAGGTCAAAAACTTGAAACATGGTAACCCAGACTTCCCTGATATCTAGAGATATCTCAGTTTCAGAGATTGCTACTTGCAATGCCCTACAATCTCATGCTTGACATTTCCTCCTAATTTCATAATTTTTATGCTCTATCACACTGCATTTACTCTGGGCTAGTTCTTGGTCTCTACTTCCTAGACTGTCCCAATAACAAAACTGGCCCCATGGTATGAGAAAACATCACAGAGTGTCACTGATGGTAGGGACATCATCAGCCATGTGTGCTGTATAAATCATTCTTAGTGTCTTCTAGGGTCCCACAAGGGCCTCAAGAATCACCTGGAGTGATTCTGAGGGAAAGAATGAAGACCACTGGATCCTTTAGGAGTCTTACTCCCATGACAAACAGAAAAGTTCCTCTGTTTTCTTTCTAATTGATTTTATTTAAACAATGGGCCTGGTAAAGCAAAAGCATGAAAACAATTGATAATAGGACATTATATTTTAGCTTGACATTATCAGAGGTGAAAGGAAAGATAATTAATGGCCAGTAGGGCCCAGGAACTGACCAACAAAAATGGACAATAGTCCCGGTTTTTGCCAGATGTCACTTCCTTACTTGCTGGATTAAAGAAGGATCTAGAATGTCCTAGGAGTAGGGGGCAATCAGACAACTGGGGCAGAAGAGGAGTGGGAGAGACATGCAGGGATCTCAGACGAGTGCTATTTACCATCCAGCATGAAAATGTTTCCATTTTCATAACCAGTATGGCTGTATCTCAGAGGCAACACAGTGAATCAGGGATAGAGTTAGGACCCTGATAATTTAAATCTTAATTTCCTGGGGAAAAATATACAACTCTTTAAGGTTTACTAATAATTATAAGTTGCTGTCTTTGAACAATTGTCAAAATGATCCTCAATGTGTCAAAAAATCAATTATCTTAATAGAACTTTTAGTTTAAACAGCTTCCCATAACGGTGAATAAGCAGACATTGCATAACAGATTACAGAATACAAAAGTATACAGTCAGCCTTCCATATTCATGCATTCTGTATCTGTGGATTCAACTAACTGTAGATCAAAAAGATTTAGCTGAAAAAGACATTGGTTACACCTTTACTGAATATGCATAGAATTTTTTTCTCGTAATTTCCTAAACAATATAGTATAACAAGTTTTTACATAGCATTTAGATTTTATTAGGTATTGTAAGTAACCTAGATATATTTTAAAGTACAGGGAAGACATGCATAGGTTATATGCAAATATTATGCCATTTTATATTGAGGGACTTCAGCATCTGTGGATTTTGGTATTCAAAGGGGGTCCTTGAACCAATCCCCCGTGGATACTAAAGAATGACTGTACTTAGTTTTATATTTATTTCTTTTCACAGATTCCAAAATAAGAGGTACCAAAGGTACTTAATTGTTTTTTATATATTTAAGAAATTTATTAATGGATGGTTCTGTTAGACTAATATTCTTTTTATACAATATTCATAAATTTTGACATCACTGCAGGTACTTATTAAGATAATAAGTAGACTACAAAAAACCAATATTTAGAGAATGCCTTTGAGGACACCATGTATCTGTTTATCATCTTCTGGTTTGTCAATGACATGCATGATTAGTTACAATAATGTTCTTTTGCTCTCCCTCTGGAATGATAAAGCATAATCACTGGCTTACGGAACATGGTACCTCGCTTGTAAATTTGTAAAGGAAGCTACTTTTGTTGACAGTGCTAATGTCTGCCATCTGTTTGCATGGGATGAAGCCCTGGTGCTCTTCTAATTGGCCATAAATTAGATATCAGCAGCAGGCTTTTGACAGGATCCTTCAGTTACAGTTTCATTTTTTAAAAAATACAGCTGTGAATTCAACATTTGGTCAGAAACCCAATTTCTCTGCTAAGAGTATACAAATGCACTTTTTGAATTCTTAGACTCAAGCTGATTTTTCTGTATTTGTGCTTAAGGTAGACCTCTCTCAAGGTTTCTTCTCCGTATATAACCCTGAAGATAAACCAATGCTGAGTAGAGAGAAACACAGCTAAATCCAAGGGAATCCTATGCCTTCTGTAAGAAGAGGAAGGGCATATTTATTTAGTGCTTACTTCATGTATTGTGCTGTGCATGGACATTTACCTATGTTAAATCATTTGATTTTCAAATCAATTTTATAATTTTGATAATGTTATCCAATTTTTCAGACAGGAAAACTGAGACTCAGAATTTAAGTAATTTACCCATATTCTTGTAAAATGGTGTAGTCAAGATTCAAGTATTGAGCTTTGACCACATCCATTCACTTGTCAGTGTACACTGTATATGCCTAGGTTTGGATAAGGAGAGAAAATTAGGATTAGGGAAAAGCCTTAGTCTCATTCCTCCCCTCACTAGATTTCCTTGCTTCATGCTTTAAAAGAGGCAAGATTAACTCCATCTAAGTTCCCACAACGATCCTTATCTACATCCTGGCATTTCTCTACAAATTTTCTACCTTGCCTCTTTTTCACTTTTCAGAAAATCAAAAATACATATATATGTGCTCTCCAAGAACCTTTCCTCATTTGCCCACTATTTTCTCCCCTGGGGTCCCATTTATCAAATATCCCCTTTAGTATTTCATTTGCTCCAACTTCCTGGATACTTGTATACTGTAAGCTCAGTGTTCTCACTTCCTTTTTACCTAGTCACACTTTGTAATCTGGATTCCATTCTTAACATTTTAATAAAACTGTTTTCTCCCAGGTTACTAAGCCTATTGCCCTTTTCTCTATCTGCATGCCTCTCAGCTTGTAACACTGTGATTATCTCTTTTCTCATGAAATATCCTCTTGCTTTCTGAAGTCTCCTACACCGCTCTGCTTTCTAACATCTCATTATTCTTCACTGGTTTTACTTTCCCTAATGCTTAAATGAAAGGATTTCCCCAAATCTAGCCTTGGCTCTTTAATCTTCTTCTCGATTCTTTCATGCAATTCTGTCCTGTCTCATAGCTTCAGCTGCTAACCACATGTAGGCAATTCTAAAGTTAATTTTAAGTTAATTCTAACAAGAGTTTCTGTCCCACATTTCCTGTCTCCTACAGGCCATCCATTCTTGAGTGTTCGATATTGTATGTTCAATGCATTACATTCTTAGTAGAATGTCATCGTACCTACCAAACTGATTTTTCTACTTTCCTTTTACATCTTTTCTATCCCAACTACATCCCTAATTTCTCCCTTGCTCTTCACATTCAGTAAGACGTGAAACCTTCTGGTTTTACCTCTTCATTTCTTATGGGTTCCTCCTACCCATGGTCTCATAATCACCAACTGAATTTAGACTCCTAACCAAATATTTTGTCTCTAACCTCTCCCTCTAATTCGTTTTACACTGAATTCTCAGATTAGTCTATTAAATCCATTGTTATAGTGATAACTTTTTGCTGCATAAAATGGTCTGAACTGCCCTTATCCCAACATTCAATTTTCTCAGTGAACCAGTGCCAGCATGCTTGTGAACTTGTTACAGCACCTCCACCAACTACCTTTACACAGTCTCACTTTAGCCAGTTTAAATGGCTGATAGCTTTCCTATGAGTAATTCTTACACTAGTCATCATATTTATATTGCTTTTCCTATACTTCCACATCCACTTAACACTTTTTAACACCTCCCCGACTCTTCTCAAAAGTACTCACTCTCTTTTCTGAATTCCCTTAAAATTTTATTCTGAACTCATTTTTTTTGCCTTGTATCATGGTTATTTTTGTATATGCCACATCTCTATTAGACGCTAACTCTTAAAACCAGCATCTGTGCTGCTCCTTTGAATCTTCTTCCAGGACAATGCTTTGCACATGGGAGATTCTCAGTAAAATGTGAGTTGAATGGAAGAGCAAATTGGTAATTATTGTTTTTGGGAACCAGACAAAATATAACAATTTCAGAAATATCCATGGATATTGCTACCATTCTGCAACTGTGTCTCTGCTCTGGTTCTAGTGATCCAGCATAGAAGGGCCTCTCAAAGTGAGGTTTGTAAATCAGGTAGAATTTCTCTCCATCCGGAGTCCTCTGAGCTCGGCATCCAGCTCCATCATTCTAGGCTAATCATACCTGGCTCCTCAGGTTCATTCTATGTGGTTACTCACTGCCTATTCCAGTTTGAATGGCTCCACTAAAATGGATGTTTTACAGTTATTCTTGGGTCATGTACTTGGCTATTCGATGAATTTATCCACATACATTACAAGGAAGAAAAGCCTGTTCCACTGCTTCCAGAAAGTACATATGCATTTTAACCATGCTCTTGGAGAATCAATAATCTGACATTTGCAGCTTAACTTATAAAGCATCCAGGTAATGAAAAGAGCAAGCCAGAACTGAGAGAAGAAACAGGGATAGACATTATCAGACAAATTTTTAATGGCCTTAAATATATGCCTATGTCTAGAACTGATTATTTCTTCAAAAGTTTCTTCCCTAAATGCTTCTATTATGGAAGTCTGGAGATAGGAGAATAGAGGGCATAACTAAAACTACTAAAAAAATAACCCATTTCTTAACAAAAATGGAATAATAATTCTAAAAATTTACAAAAATAACTAGCATTGGTTGAGTACCTCCTGAGTAAAAGACACTTGGACAAATGCTTTACTCAAATGTTCTCATTAATCCTCAAAATATCTGTATGATATTTCATTACCTCAGTTTACAAATGAGCTGAGCCGAAGCTCACAGTGGTTAAGTACCTTGTTAAAGATCACAAAGCTAGAATGGCAGAGCCAGCCACTTTTAAGAATAGGGAATGAGAAACAAATACAGAATTCATTTAAAAATGAAAAGATATAAAACAAGTATTAATAGCTCCATAAAATGATGTCTAATTCCAAGAACTCATGTGTGTTGCTGATATGAGTGTGTAATTCACATAATAAAACAATGTACTTACTCTCTGTCAATCACAAGGCAGGTTACAGCTTCTGCAGCAATTACGTTTGCTGTTCTCACATCTTCCCTATGTGAAAAATAGAGACATTCAAATAAAATAACCTTTAATATCAAAGCACAGTGTCCATTGTGATTAATTCAGGAAAAAATTTACATTATATAAACTCTTCTGATTTATCCACCTCCAGGCTTAAGCTTTGTTTATGTTTCAAAATTTTTTTTGAGGAATCATCTTACCCTTGTCATTAATCATACAAATCCTACAGTTACAATCCAGTAGTTGCAATTTTCAAATTTGAAATTTCATTCACCCAAGTAGAACAAATTTGATATCATTCCCTTTGGGGAAATTAATAAAATAGTTGGATAATGATCAAGATAGTAACAAACATAAATATGCAAAAGTTTTTAAAGAATTTGAAGCTATACTTCTAGAAACTGAGTATCTGATCCATTTGTATATGAATTTATCATTATATCCTTGAGAACAATTGATCTGTTTAAATTATTTCCTTACTTTAAAGACCCTGTTTTTATGTAGCTAATGTTTTGGCAATTTATGGCACATAGTCATTCATCTATATCAGAAGTTATGGTTCTTCAAGAGCATTTGACAAATCTTAAGTCACACTGATAGAAACATGTAAATATTGTCTCTTTAGAAGCATTTAATTTGTTACTGCATTCGTATCTATCAATCTCTTAAACCTTTGAAAATCTATCCTGGTATCTTATGTTTGATCCAGTAGTTAAAGGTGGATTTGATAAATTAACATTCACAATTCATTTTCAGCTAGTTAAAAATTAATAGTATCAGTATCATGGTAACATGGTTAACGGGTACAAAAAAATAGAAAGAATGACTAAGACTTAACTATTTGATAGTACAATATGATGACGATAGTCAATAATAACACAATTGTATATTTTTAAATAACTTAATGTAATTGAATTATTTGTAACTCAAAGGATAAATACTTGAGGGGGTGGATACCCCGTTCTCCACAGTGTGCTTATTTTACATTGCATGCCTGTATCAAAACATCTCATGTACTCCCTACTATGTACACCTAAGTACACATAAAAATGTACACTTACTATGTACCCATGAGAATTTTTAAAAATAATTTAAAAATTACAAAATAAGCTATACTTGAAAATTTACTTTTTCCAAAAACAATAAAATTTCTAAGTTAATTAATAATTAATATGTTTGAAATATATTAAAGAGATAGGTACATATGAAATGATATAGCATTAATAATACAGTCTATAAACCAAAAAACATCACATCTCTAATAACAGGCTCTTAAAGTTTTGAGAATAAAGATGTTCCCAGTGACTTTTTATACTTTTGAAACACATTACATTCTGAAATATATTTCCGAACTCTATTTTTCACTGATCTCTGTGTCTTTCACTGTTGCTATACCATGCTGTTTAGATTACAATCGCTTTAAATTAACTATTTGTATTTAATATTTGGCAAAGCATGTTCTCCCTTACTAAAATCCTTTTTTCAGAAATAGCTTAATGATATTCTTAAGCATTTATTATTTTTGAGAAATTCCTTGATGATATTCTTAAGCATTTATTATTTCATATAGACTTTAAAATAATCTTCCACTTCTGAAACACCCACCTTGGGATTCTAGTAGAGTTGTATTATATTAATATTTATTCATTGATATCAAAGCAAGGAATTTCTGATGATATTACTTTTTCCATATAAGAACATGGCATGACTTTCTACTTGTTCAGATATAATTTCATATCTTTAAATACAATTTCATAATTTCTTTCACTTGGGTCCCGATATTTAAAAAATGTATTCCTATATGTTGCATATTATGTTTTTCTTATGAGTAACTTTCCTTTTCATTTGTTTCTCACTGGTTGCCCTGTTTTTTAAAAAAGCCATCAATTATTGTACATATTTTAATCCACCCACCATACTACATCATCTTAACTCTAAAATTTTTGTTATAGTCTCGTTAACTCCCAGCACAATCCTCCCAGTGTCTCCCTCACATTCCCTGCCTTTTGGCCAAACTGGCCTCTTTTTTTTTTTTTTTTTTTTTTTTTTTTTTGATGGAGTTTCGCTCTTGTTGCCCACGCTGGAGTGCAGTAGCACTCGGCTCACTGCAACCTCCGTCTCCCAGGTTCAAAGTAGCTAGGATTACAGGAGTCCACCACCACGCCTGGCTAATTTTTGTATTTTTAGCAGAGATGGGGTTTCACCATGTTAGCCAGGCTGGTCTCGAACTCCTGACCTCAGGGGATCCACCCGCCTCAGCCTCCCAAAGTGCTGAGATTACAAGTGTGAGCCACCGCGCCCAGCCACTGGCCTCCTTTTAATACACATCATCGCCCTCCTGCCACGAGTTCTTAACATGCTTTCCATAGGCCTAGGAAGTTCCTCTCTAACTTTTGCTTAGTTCACCCCTTCTTATCTCTTCAATCCCAGCCTACGTACCTCTTCTTCAGGGATGCCATCATGAATTGACCAGGTTGGGTTTCCTATGCATCTGTTCTCGTAGCCCTACATACCTCTCCATCCAAGCATGTATCACCATTTGTAATTTATATTAATACGTGTATTTATGTAGTCATTTGTTTAATAACTCTGTCTTCCTTCCACTAAACCCTATGAGGGCCGGGACCATAGCTGGCTTTGCTCCCCGTTTCATCCCAAATGCCTCACACATACAACATGCTTAGTGTTTAAAGCAGTTATGGCACAGACATCCATCATACTTCTGAACCCTGGGGTAGGAAGGCAGAGCTCAGGGTTTGGAGTTGCACTATTCTGGTGTTAAACCCACCTCCATTCCCTCCATTCACAAGTGAAAGCCTCAATTTCCTCATCTGTAAAATGGGAATACGAGTAGCCACTCACTATGTGGTATTAAGTGAGATAATCAAACGTAAGTTTAACATAGTGCCTGGCCCAGCTGAACTGTGTTCTGTTGTTTATTATTTCTAATTCTTTTCATCCCCAACACCTTCATGGTTGTCTCTGTGGAGGCTCTATCTGGTGTTTTATAAAACACTCCTATTCAGAAACACAGTGGGGATTTTCTTTCTGCTCCATAGATGTAAGCAATGTATTTTCAATTCGTTATCACTTTCATAGTGGGAATTTTTGGTGAAATGAACATAATGGGCAGGAAACTTCTGTAGTGCTCATTGGGTTCTTCATAAATTATGTGAATGACTTATTTCTTAGTTGTTCATGGCAGCATAAGTTACTATCAATTGCTGCCAGCCAAAAACAAATAAATGAATAACAATAATAAACAAACTACCATCACAAAATAGAAAATATAATACTAAATTTAGCTTTTCCTGAAATATATTTCCATTTGACTATTAAGAAAGTGCCCACATCCTTTAAAAATATAATAAATACAAAATAGTGCTTCATTTTGAAGATATCTTCTGTGCATATAGATTTTTAAAAATGTATTCATCACAAATCTACAATATTTCAGAATTTTGTCATATTATCTGGCCTAAATTGGATATACTTTTAAAGTTGAATGCAATTTCCATGCAACAAAAAGAAGATGCATTGGTATTTTTAAATGTAGATTGGGGAAAATATCAAAGATCAGAAGAGTGACATAGTTAACAGAAATAGAAAATTTTATTTTAAAAAGGAAAACAAGTATGGCCTAAAGCCAGGTGTAGTACCTAGTAAAGTGACATATATTAAAACTGGAAAGAAGCATCACATTGGGGGGAAAAACCAACATATTAAACAATAAATTATAATATTTGCCATTTATTGAGCATATAGTACATGTCGGGAACAACATTAAACACTTCATACAAATATCATTTGTTGCACATAACAAAGGGTGGTGCTCTGAGAATAGAGGTTAGGGAATGCACCCAAAGTCAGATATAGCTAGTGAGTTACAGTTCTGGAATTTGAACACAGATCTGGCTGTCCCTAAAGTCATGTTCTTTCCACAACAGTAGGCTGCTTATATGCTTTGCTATCAGATTTAAACTCAACATTCATTAAAATGTTGAATAACCTTTGAGCAGTAAGTATTCACTGTCCATCATTATGAAAATTATATTTACTTGTTAATAGAACCAGCACTAATAGAGTTATGGGTTTCCAATTGTAAAACTAATATGAAAGGGTCATTTTCATTTTAAAATTGTTAGAATTCCCATCCATAGCTATGTCCTAGCCTGCTATATTGCTTTGTAATAATGTTGCCTAACAATAGAGAATTATTCATCGCCAAGCTCATTCAATGGCAAACTCATGTTGCCATGACGGTGTCATTTTATTTCTATTATTAAGGTGCTTGTAGCTCTCTAAGAGGGTGTCTGTAAATTCTGTTCTTGTGCACTCAAAGCCTGCTAGAGATAGAGACAAAATACTATCTGATTTAGTATTAACATATATATTAATCCTTGACATTAGTATATGACATGTATTAATCTCTCATTTTAGGAGTGATAGTAGAAATTTCTAACTTCTAAAGAGAGAATGTCAATGATAGAAGCTGACAACACTGTGATTTACTATGTATGTTTATATCTTTTATGGGTCCAAGGACCATGGTAAAGCAAATATCATTTGAATTTAAAGATGTAATATTACATATTCATATAATACAAAGGTCTTAATAAATCTGGGTTATTAAATGTATTTTTATCAGTAGATGTTATGATACTGGTTTCACACAGAACATCTACCAAGTTAGCGGGCATTTCACGTCAGAGCGGTTTAGAAGCAGGACAAGGAAAGAGAGGAGAAAAGCATTATTTTTTAAAAACTGAACTTACTTTCATTTGTACTTTTTTACAGATCAGGGTATTTAATAATTTCTAATAGAAGAATACAAGACATTTTGGTAAAATATTGAACACAAGAGAACTTTATAACTAGGGTTATAATGTTCAATTTATTTAATTAAAAACTTTTACCAAACACACATTACCTCTGAACATTCAGCACACTAGACTTGCTTTTTTATAATAAATAAATGTATATCTAGCCACATAACAGTCCACATCCAACATGCAAATTGTCTCTAAAAATAAAATCTCACGCTTATCTAGTTCTGTGCCTCTGTATTAGTTGATTTCGGTGTGCAGTTAATAAATACTTTAAAAAGCACTACTGCAAAAGTAGCTACTGTTTGGCAGATTAACAGGTATTTTTACAAAATTGCTGCTGATTAATTAGTAATTACAATCAAAGCTATGCAGTTTAGTAGTGGCCTCTTTTTAAGCCACTTCTAACATTTTCAGATGTGTTAGAAATTCCTTTCAGTGAAACAATAGAGCATGAAAAATATCCCAAAATATTTGCAAATATAGGTTTCCGTGCACTGACTCTGATATTCTTTGAACTTCGTCACTGGAATCTTCATCATCGCTGTATCCCAAAGTGGCGTCACTGTCAGTATCTGAATAATCCATACAGGGAATTTACATCGGCTCTTCTGGTTCTAAACCAATTCTCTTGTGTCTCATGGCTATGAGAGAACTCTAGCGTTCATTGATACCTCAGGGGAACAAACACAGAATGTATGAGGCCAAAGCAGAACATAGTTGATACAAAGTAGCTGTCAGAGTAGGGGCTCTCCCTTTTCAGCTCTGGAGCAACATGACTGCTGTCCACAGAGTCCCAGCACTCTCTCAGTGCCAGCCTTCATGGAAACTCGACACTACTCCAGTTGCTTATGAGCTTACAGCAATCCCGGGGTCAGAGCTCTTTACTCTCTGTCATGTGCAGCAGTTTAATGTCCCCAGTTAAGTTTAGTTCACACAGCACAAAGCAAATTCTTTTCATCTCAAAATCAAAAGCAATCTTACTACAAGGGGTAGGATAATCAAAATTGATAGGAAATGACAAGCATCAAAGAACCACAAAAAATGAAATAAATTAATTATAAACAAGAATTGTAGAGTTGGTGGTAAATCTGACTATGCTTTTTTGAAAATTGGATCCCTTGGCAGATAAATGTGCTTTAAGGAAAAGTCATATCAGGTCAATCACTAATTCCACTTTCCACTAAGTCCTGAAGCTCTTCCACCATGATTTATGCCTCCAACACTGTAATAAAACCCACAACCTAAGTGAACAATCAGCTAATACATGCAAATAATTATATACCTTCTAATCATGCTTGCACAGAGTAATCAACCAATAAATGTTAGTGACAATCATCATGATCATGGTCATCATCACGATCATCATCACTTTAGGACCCTCTGACATGGGGAAGCATGTGACCCCTTTTTATATACTTTGTCTCTAGTAGTCCCCTTCCCTAAGTTTCTATATAATAAATTAATCTCCCAATTATTTTCTGACACCACCTTCTCAATTTGTTTTGTTGACATTTCATCCCTAGCCCATAGATGATAGGTGTTTTCCCAAAATTCTGTTTTGGGCTTTCTTTTTGCTAGCCCTGCTTTCTCTCATTGAGGAAAACTCACATAACACTATGACGTCAACTATTAGTTTTACATGAGTGACTTGCAAATCTTCATTTCTAACTTTTACCTCTCTCCTGCTACATACTTCTATCTGGAAGTCCCATTGCAACCTGCGATTCAAACCTAACTCATTTTCTCCTAACCTCAAAACCACTGTTTTCCTTGGGTTCCCTATCATGGTAAATGGCATCAGCATTATTGCACTCACCTAGGCTCAAAAGATTGGATTCATTTTTTAACTCTTCCCCATCTCTCTTGTGTATATTTGGTCATATTGGTTCTATCTCTGTCTATCTCTCATATTCATCCTTCCTTCACATTCCCACAGGTATGGATCTACTGTGGGCCACCACTATCTCTGCCCTGCACCACTGATCTGGCCTCCTAAGTGATCCCCTCGCCTCTACTCTCTCCCCCTTCTAATCCTTATCTCACTCTGCCATACATTTTCAAATGTAAATCTAGTCATGTCAACTCTTTGCACAAGAACTTTTAAAGAAAACAAGAAAAATGTCAATGTTTCAATGTTTTCATGTATAGTTAGAGGTCCTCCAACTGTCTGATCTATCACCTTTCCAGGCACTATACTGACGACCCTCTGCTGCACTGGTGACAGATAACTGTTTCCTCAAAATATGACCACTGTAAATTCTGTCCATGCCTGTGCACATGCAGCTGACTCTTCTAAGAACCTTCTATTTCAGTTCATCCATAAAACTTCCATTATCCTTCAGTAGCATTTTTAAAGGATAAGAACAATTTTTA
Organism: Homo sapiens; assembly: GCF_000001405.40. Taxonomy (NCBI): domain Eukaryota; kingdom Metazoa; phylum Chordata; class Mammalia; order Primates; family Hominidae; genus Homo; species Homo sapiens. The sequence goes on along the minus strand of NC_000010.11, from coordinate 52,126,667 downwards.
CACATAAGAAATATTTCTACAGAGCTGTGTTTGGCGGCACACACTTGTAATCCCAACTACATGAAAGGCTGAGGCAGGAAGATCACTTGAGCCCAAGAGTCTGAGACCAGCCTGGGCAATGTAGCAACACCCCAACTCTACAAAGAAAGAAAGAAAAAGAAGTATTTTTGCATATTAATTACAAAAAAAGGGGGAAAATAAAAAGTACTGTAACACCATCTACCAGGAGATAACTAAGATTAACATCTTGGTGAATAGCCTTACAAACCCTTTATTCTTCTTATCTCTTTTTATTTATTAAATTAGAAAATCCACCTTTATTATGAAGTACTTATATGTCCCATGAATATAATAATAATAAACCAGCAATTATTTTAACAAATATTTGCCAAAGGTTAATATATTTTGTATGCCTGACCTTGCAGTCTAGTGGAGACAGATATCAAATTAGTACACAAACATACCCAGTAGCCCTCCCCTGCCCCACCACCACCTCCCCTCACCATTATCCACAGTTTCACTCAGTTACCCTAGGCTTCAGGTACCTGCAGTCAACTTCAGTCCAAAAATATTAAATGGAAAATTCCAGAAACAAGTCATACGTTTTAAATTGCACACCATTCTAAGTAGCTTAATTAAGCCTTACTCTGTCGTGCTTCCTCACACCGTGGACTTGAATCTTACCTTTCTCCAGTGTGTCCATGCTGTATATGCTCCCCAACCATTAGCCACTTAGTAGCAATCTCAGTTACCAGATCAACTGTCACATCACTGTCCCAAAGTGCAAGAGTAGTGATGCTGGCAATTCTGATATGCCAAAGAAAAGCCTTAAAGTGCTTCTTTCATGAAAGGTGAAAGTTATTGACTTGATAAGAAAGAAAAAAAGGTCATATGGTGAGGTTGCTAAGATCTATGATGAAAACATATCTTCTATCTGTGAAATTGTGAAGAAGGAAAAATACATTTGTGTTAGTTTTGCTGTTGCATTCAAACTGCAAAAGTTATGGCCACAGTGCATGTTAAGTGCTTAGTTAAGATAGGAAAGGCATTACATTTGTGGGTGGAAGACACAAACAGAAACGTGTTCCAATTGAGGGCAATCGGGTTCCATATGATCATCTGTTTCTGGTATCCACTGGAGGTCTTGGGATATATATTCCCTGCAGATAAGTGAGGGCTACTCTAATGGAAACATTGATCAAATAGCATGCAATCAGATAACTAATAGGGAGGATCTCATTCAGCAATTAGGACAGACAACTTTTGTAAGGACATTAGAAATTAAGACCCAACGGTGGAGTTTGGGTCCTTAAGATAAACAGTCAGGAGAAATGTGTTACAGGAAGCATGCATAGTCATGCACCACACAATGACATTTTGGTCAACAAACAGACCACATATGCAACAATAGTCCCATGATTCTAATGGAGCTGAAAGACTCCTTTCATCTAGTAATATCATAGCCCTAAACAAACCTACTGTGCTGCCAATTATATGTAAGTATAGCACATATGATTATGTACCTTGCATAGTACTTGATAATGATAATAAATGACTGTGTTACTAGTTTAAGTATTTACTACATTATGCTTTTTATTGTTATTTTAGAGTGTACTCCTACTTACTAAAAAAAAGAAAAGGGCTTAATATAAAAGAGCCTCAGGCTAGTCTTTCAGGAGGTATTCCAGAAAAAGGCATTGTTATAGAAGATAACAGCTCCATGTGTGTTATTGCCCCTGAAGACCTTCCAAGGGGACAAGACGTAGAGGTGGAAGACAGTGATATTGATGATCTCAACCCTGTGTAGACCTACACTACTGTGAATGTTTGTGTCTTCATTTTTAACAAAAAAACTTCGAAAAGTAAAAAATACAATAAATTAAAAATAGAAAAAATCTTATAGAATATGTAAAGAAGAAACTATTTCTATACAGCTGTATGAATTGTTTGTATTTTAGAAATTATTAGAAAAGAAATTAAAAAGTTTATAAAGTAAAAAATTACAATAAGCTAAAGTTAATTTATTATTGAAGAAAGAAAACTATTCTTATAAATTTGGTGTAGACTAAGTGTCCAGTGTTTCTAGTGTCTACAGTGGTGTACAGTAATTTCCTAGGTCTTCACATTCACTCATCACTCACTCATTGACTCACCCACAGCAACTTATAGTCCTGCAAGATTCATTCATGGTAAGTGCCCTATTTGGGTGTACCATTTTTAATCTTTCATGGTATATTTTTGCTTTACCTTTTCTATGTTTAGATATATTTAGATACACAAATACTACTGTTACAACTGCCTGCAGTATTCAGTACAGTCACATGCTGTACAGGTTTCTAGCCTAGGAGCAATAGGCTATACCATGGAGCTTAGGTATGTAGTAGGCTATACAACCTAGGTTTGTGTGAGTAGACTCTACGATGCTAGCATAATGAAACTGCCTAAAGATGCATTTCTCAGAATATGTCCCTATCCTTAAATAACACCATTTAAATTGCACACCATTCTAAGTAGCTTAATTAAGTCTTACTCTGTCCTGCTTCCTCACACCATGGACTTAACCCCTCCCTTTGTCCAGTGTGTCCATGCTGTAGATGCTCCTCACCCATTAGCCACTTAGTAGCCATCTCAGTTATCAGATCAACTGTCACAACATATAGAACATATACAATAGCTTGAATTAGGAAAGAGCTTATTGTAACATAAGCAAAGTTGGAATTCAGAGATTGAGTAAAAGAAAAGAAGGCAGAGACCATAGAACACAGAGAAGAAAACAGGGCCACATCATTCAGTGTCTGGAGGTAGTTCTAAGGATTTATTTTTTTTTTAAGATTCACTTTCTTTTCCTTTACCATGTTAACTAAAATCTCTAAAATTAGTTAGAGAGCTTAAACTCAAGTAGAGGAAACAATTTGTAGCCATGATAGAATGAAGTTTTAAGAAAATTGAATTAGTAATTTTGGAGTACCTATACTGATGGCCTTTTCACATATTGAAGTAAATGTTATTGCTACAGCCATTTATAAGGAATTCATATATTACAGAACAATTTCTTCTAAACAGAAAATATGATCTCTGTCCTTAAAAATCCTACAATGTAAAATAAAGGAGCAATGAAAAATGCATAAAGGTCAATGTATTATTAAGAATATATATCAACTTATGATAAACATAGACTTGAGTTTAAAGCAGATCCTCTTTCTGGAGTTTACCCAAGGCAGTCTCTGGTTTCTTATCAATAATATGGACTCGTAACATGACCCAAAAGAGACTGATTCTCTAGGCAGAAAAATTATAAGTGCTGTCCAAAAACCAACTCCAAGGTTTATTCTTCCTGGTCATGTGATTGGATATTTCCATTCATTATATGAATTCACTTCCTGAGAGACTGCATATCCTCTTCGATCTATATCCACGGGAGAACACAATAACTAAATAGAGAATGAAGAAGTTGGAAGAATTCAATTTTCACATTTTTTTCATTACTTCTGCTGGGTTGATAGCATAATGAATTTTTTATCTGACATACAAACTTCACTTTCTATGGCATTCTTCAGTGACAAAGAATGTAGCCATTTATTAGACTGAGCCAAATAAAATTGTTTGTGCAGGTTAAAAACAGCCAAATATTGACAATTTTCTATGGTTCAACCTAATATACAGAATTAATGAAAGAGAAAGGGGAAGAAAAAGTAATTGCAGTGGGATATATATTGCTATTTTTTTCTGTTGTGTTTCCTTTGTGTTATCAGTGGAACTGAGAATCGACAGTAACCTGTACATCTTCCATATTCCACATTTGAATGAATTCATTCCCCTAAATGTTAAAACGTGACTGGTGGCTTTTGTTCTTTCTATCTAGTCATTACAGATAATATTCTTTACATTCCATTATAGCTGGCATAAGACATTCTGAAGAATTCTGAATCCTAGTTTCTTTCTTGTTAGGGTACAAATGGTATTTACTCTGTACTTTTGCTTCAAATATTAAACTCTTTGGCAAAGCCTTACAAATTTAAAGAATGTCACCCCAGGGAGAATTTACAGATAGAAGGATGAGCTTATTGTTCTTTGTTATTATTTTATTAGTAGATTCCTCTTATATCTATTCTTCTTCTCTGAGCCATATTTTATAAAATAATATGAATTAACATAAATCTGGTGGTTTTCAGACATTGATACATGTAATTTTGTAAGGTAATAGGTGAAAGATAAGTTTGAATTTGAGTAGAAGATATAAATAGAATAATTATTCGATAGGTGTGTTATGGTTTGAACGTATCCCCCAGAATTTATGTCTTGGAAACTTAATCACTAATGCAACAGTGTTGAGAAGAGGGACCATTAAGAGGTAATTAGGTCAATTAGGGCTTTGCCCTCATGAATGGATTAATGTCATTATGTCAGGAGTGAGTATGCTATTGAAAGTGTGAGTTTGTAATAAAAGTGCGTTTGGCTCCCTCTTGCACTCTCTTGCACGTGTGCACACGCTTTCTTGCCCTTCTATGTTTTGCCTTCCACCATGGAATGATGCATCAAGAAGACCCTCACCAGATGTGAGCCCCTCAACCTTGGACATCCCAGTGTCTCAAAGTATAACAAGTTAATCTCTGTTCTTTACAGTTTCCCCAACTTCGGGTATTCTGTTATAGCTGCACAAAATAGCTTAAAATAGGAAATTGGTACCAAGGAGTTGGGCTATTGCTAAAACAAATATCTGAAAACGTGGAAGTAGCTTTGGAATGGAATAATGACTAAAAGCTGAAAGAATTTCAAGCAGCAGCCCAGGAAAAAAATCGAGACTGCTGTGAACAGAGTGTTAAGGGAAATTCTGGTGAGGGCTCAGAAGACAGGAGCTGTAGGGAGAAACTAAATCTTCTTAGAGATTACTTAATTGGTCATGATTAAAATGTTGGTAGAAATATGGTCACTAAAGGCAATTCTGATGAAGTTTCAGAGAGAAATGACGAATAAGGTATTGGAAACGGGAGTAGAGGTCAGCTTTATTATAAAGTGGCAAAGAACCTGGCTGAATTATGTCCACGCCCTAGGGCTTTATTAAAGATGAAATTTAAGAGTGATGAACTAAAATATCTGGCAGAAGAAATAGCTAAGCAGCAAAGGATTCCAGATGCTACATGGCCTCTTTTAGCTGCTTACAGTAAAATTAGAGAGAAGAGAAATGATTTTAAGATGGAATTAATAATTAAAACAGAAGCAGAATAGAAAGATTTGGAAAACTCTCAGACTGGCCATGTAAACAATAATAAAGCATGCTTGGGAGAGAATACTAACCGTGTGGTCAAGCGACTGTTTGCTAAAAATAGTAATATGGATGGAAGGAAGATAGATCCTATTCATCAAGAATATGGGACAAAGATCATCTAGGCATTTCAGATATGTTCAGGACTGCCCCTCCAATCACAGGCCCAGAGCAGGACCTTGAAGGCAAGGTTTCCAGAGAGATGCTCTAAAGGCCTCATGATTTGTTGTCCTACACCACCTCCAGGGCAGGACACCTCTGTTTCTTCATCCCAATGCAGCACTCCTGGGCCACCCCAGGAGTAAATATGGCTTAAGTGGGCCTAGGTGCAGCTTGGGCTGCTTGGTCTGCCACTTTGGAGGGCAAAAGCAGTGGGCCTTGGCAGTGTCCACATATAACTAACTCTGAAAGTGCACATAGTTTGCAAGTTATGGGGCCACGGTAGCCTCCACCAAGATTTCACAAGATGTCGTGGACAGCTTGGGGCCCAGGCAGAAACTTGTCACAGAGGCAGAATCACCACAGAGAGCCACTGCTAGGGCAATGCCTAGTGGAGCCATAGGAGTGGGGCTGCATCTGTGACGCCATAACCGTAGAGCCGCCAGAGTGCAACGTAAGCCTTGGAAAGTTTCAGGCACAGACTGACAGGGCGGACTAAAGCCAGCAAAGACACAGGGGCGGGGCTGCCTGAGGTCTGGGGAGCCCAACTCCTGTCCCAGTGTGCACAGAAGATGGAACGTGGAGTCAAAGAAGATTGTTCTGAAGATTTAATGTTGTTTGCCCCACTGGGTTTTGGGCTTACTTGGGATCAGTTACCCCTTTCTTCTTGCCTATTTTTCCCTTTTGGAATGAAAATATCTATCTTATGCCTGCCCCACCATTGTATTTTGGAGATAGATAACCTGTCTTGATTTCATAGGCTCACAGCTGGAGAGAATTTGTCTCAAAATGAATCATGCCTTGAGTCTCATCCATATCTGATTCAGATGAGACTTTGGGATTCGGACTTTTGAGTTGACGCTGAACTAGTTAAAACTTTGGGGGCTATTGGGATGGAATGGATGTATGTTGAATGTGAGAAGGATGTAAATTTGGAGAGGCATGCACAGAATTTGATGGTTTGAATGTATCCCCCAAAGTTCATGTGTTGGCAGCTTAATCTCCAGTGCAACAGTATTGAGTGGTGGGATCTTTAAGAGGTGATTTGGTCATGAGAGTTCTGCCCTCATGAATGAATTAATGTCCTTACTGAGGGAGTGAGTTTGCTATTGCTGGAGTGAGTTTGTTATAAAAGCAAGTTCAGTGTGCTCTCTCTCTGTCTTTGTCTCTCTCCCTCTTTCTCTCTCTCTCTGTCTCTGTCTCCCTCTCTCTGTCTCTCTGCCTCTGTCTCTCTCTCTCTGTCTCTCTCTCTCTGTCTCACTTTCCCTCTCTGTCTCTCTCTGTCTCTGTCTGTCTATCTCTGTCTCTCTGTCTCGCTCTTTCCCTCTCTTTCTCTGTCTCTCTCTCATGCCTGTGCTCTCTTCCCTTTCCACCTTCTGCCTTCTGCCATTGGATAACACAGCAAAAAGGCTCTCAAAAGATATGGGGCCACAACCTTAGGCTTTTCAACTTCCAACTGTAAAAAATAAATTCCTGTTCTTTATAAATACCTGGTCTGTGGTATTCACTTATAGCAGCACAAAACAGATCAAGACAGGACAAGACAGGTTGTGTCATGGGTTATGAGTACTTTAGAGAGTAAAGTAATGCATTAGTCTTTCCTTTATTTTTCTTGGTACTCTTCATTCACAGGGCTGAAAAATATTTATTCACTTTTTTTCCTATTTTGAAAGTAGAGTAAGAGAAGGCATACTGGAATGACTGGATTGATAAACTAGTAAACCTCAACTGATACAAATTTGAAAAATGTTAAGTTGCATGGTCACATATTTCAAAGGATTTTTACCTAAAATACCTCAAAACTGGACTGTGTTCTCTCATCAGAATTCTAGACAACATGTCAGGAGAGAGTGTCTCCTTTTTATTATTCTATTGCCAACTTGGTATATGACCTTGAGAAAATGATTCATTCTCCATTTCATTTTTCACATGTGAAATGTTGATCAAAATCATGGCACTGTTCTACTCTGTGGTTTGTTAGGATTTTATGCATGTCGATACTTTTTAAAAGTTCTAATTATCATGGTCTTCAATGCTCTTGAGATGATTCATCTTGAATCCAAGGATACTTCTTTAGATAGAATAGTAATTATAAGCCTGTAATTGTGATCTACTGTCTGAAAATATAAGTAGTGTATTATGGAATATGTAGATTTTCATAATAATACTTTATATAGGTGATTAAAATGTATTTTCACATAGAAATCAAGCACGATCACTTTAAATAATAGATTCTCACAATAAAAAGTCAAGAAAATGTAATAAATGTGTATAAAACCATATATCATAAATGAAAATTAAAATTGAGATTTTAAGTAGTTATTTTAAGGAAAAGAAATATGCAAAATTATAGTATAAAGTTAAATTGGAAAAAAGTTTTTTGGTACATGCTCATCACATATTTCCTATTTCATCTTAACTGAATAAAGAGCTAGCTTGCTAAGCAAAAATTTTTAGTGACTTTATCATTTAGTGCATCTACCATGGTATAATTTTACTCACACTAAATATTAACTGTGACTCAAAAGCAGAGGAAACAACTGTAAAGAAAAGAAATTCATATCCAATTCAAATGAAAAGTACTAAAAGCCAAACTTCTGTATACAGTCAAAACTTAAAATAGCATTAATTTAGGGAAAAAAAGCAAACATGGCATTTGAATTATTAAACATATCAATTTTTACCAAAAATTGTGACATATTAAACTTGCCTTACTGGCTCAGCACCTATCATAGAGATACACTGTATAAGCATTTTAAAGGTCTTAAAATATTGTATATATATAAAATATAAACACATATATGTACATTGAAATTGTCCTAAATATTTCTCTATGTAGATATGTATGCATTAAAAGTTTCCTTAAGTATTTATAGCTTAAATATCTAAATATCCAAAAGCTAAATTTATTTGATTCTAAAGAGTTTCTGCAAGGTGATAATAATATAAAGAATACCCCGATTAAAAAGTAAGAAAAAGACATGAACAGTCAGTTCACAGACAAGGAAAGAGAAACATCCTTTAAACAGAGAAAATATGAACTATCTCACACACAGTAAGAGAAATGCAAAAGCATGTGAAAATAATGCCAGTATAAATACAATCTAGTATTACCTTTGTAGAGACAATTCAGCATAATTTATTTAAGTATTTTCTTGTAATTTTTAATCTTACATATGTACTTATACTTTTGGGAAATAACATTAAAAGCATATTACTATAGTGTTGTGTATAGGAAGATTGGAAATAACCTAAATACCTATCAATGTAGTATTGATTAAAATACATTTTTTGTACAATAATAAAAGGAAATATTTTAAAACCATTGAAAATAACTAAAAAACCCCTATATGTATACAATCTCCTACCTTAAGTGAAAAGGCCATGGTATAGAACCATGTGTATGTATTTTATCATTTTTGTAAAACACATATGCACACACACACAAAATGCATGGTATTTTTCTGCATGCATTAGAAAAAATAATTACATTCAAGGAAGTGAATGTGTGATTAAAAGACAGAGGAAGAAGGGATAGTTATTATTGTAGCTTTTAAATTTTATATTATATATTCGAATTACATGTATAAAATAAATATTCTATTTTTTAATAAAAGATATACAAAATAATAGAAATTAACTCTCACAAGTAATTTCCGAGTAGAGAGGCTGCTGAGGTCTTACTCTTTCTGAAGGGCTGTGTGTTGACTGTGTGGTTATTAGCTGCTGTTCATTCTTGGGTCATCCCTCAACCCTCACACCAAAACCATCCCCAGCTATCAGGTCTAGAGGTAATTTATGCTGGCCCAGTGTAATTACACTGAAGAGATACCAGTTTAGCAGGTAGATCAAGTAAAACATGTTTAACACAGTATCCTCCAGTGTCACTTACAGCATTGCCTTTTGCCCCAGTTTCTTTGGCAACAATCATAGGAACTGGATGATAAACTAAGGAAGGTATTTTTTCAGCAGGGACATCTTAACACCCTTCATAACTCTTAGAGTGGCATTTTGGATCTCTTAAAAGATTAAGCTACCAATCATACACACACACACACACACACACACACACACACACACAGATATTTCACATAGATATCCATGCATGCATATAATAATACCTATATTTAATCTTACTTTGAGATTCTCTTTCTAATATTCCCACTAGCAATTGGGAAACAGATTTTCTCTTCATAATGATTCAGAATTTAATCACATAAGGTGCATTAACCACTACATTAACTCACAGGATATCTTTACAATGAGAGAGTAGAACATAGTGGTTAGAAAAGCAGGCTGAAGAGTTACTCTATATTGCTTAAAATACCAAATGTGCCACTAATCAGCTGTGTGACCTAGGGTCAGATACCTAAGTTCTCTGCCTATCAGTTTTCTTTTAAAAAAAAAAATGAGGAAAATAATGGTATTTGACAGGGCTAATTTTGGGAAGAATAAGAAAGTAAATACACGAAAATAACCTGGATCACTGTCTGACATACTGAAGCCCTCAATGAACATTAGGCAGTGTTATTATTTCATTATTATTACATCATGTCTAATCCCAATAGATTCTTGTTCACTCCCGTTTACTGTTGATAAACCATCATGAGTGTCACACTGCTTTATTAATTTGGAAAGTTTCTCAAGGATTAACAGTCATCTCTTCACAGTGAGTAAGACCCTCTGTTGTTATTAGAAAAACATTCTTTCGAAGTGCAAGCAAGGATTTCAGATCACGTTGGTGAAATTTTCTACTGTGGCTTAATCTCTAGTCTGAAACCTACAGAAAATAATGAAAATTATTTCTTACTATAATACAGAATAGAATAACATCGGCTCATTCATTCATGTAATAGAGTAGGGTTGCTAGATTTAGCAACTAAAAATACAGGGCATGCAATTTAATTTGAATTTCAGATAAATAATGAGTACTTTTGTTTAGTATAAGTGTGTTCTTTGTAGTTACACTAAACACGTATACATTGTTTATCTGTGTTAATTTAAATTTGGCCTAAAGCTATAATGAACTGTAACCTAACTTAATATGGAAACAAACTGCATTCTAACTGAAAGTACATTTTTGTACTAGTAGCCAAATCTTAGCCAATCATAGCAGCAGAGCTTTCAGCCAATCACAGGCTGCAAACTGCCAAAACATGTCCAAATAAGGAAAAGGCAGTGCCGTAACCAATCAGGTTATTTCTGCATGGCACCTCTTTTTTTTCTGTCTATAAATACTTCCTGTCTATATTGCTGAGTGGAGCTCTCCGAGACTACTGGTTCAGGGCGCTGCCTGATTCATGAATCATTTCCTTGCTCAAATAAAGTCTGCTAAATTTAGTTCATCTAAAGTTTTTCTCTGAATATCTAAAATTCAAATTTAACCAGGTATCCTGTATTTTACCAGGAAACCCAAAAATAAAGTTTCTGAATATACACCCTGAGCCAGATAGTCCAAGTTGCTGGGTATACAGAAGGGTAAAGGATAAAGTCATTGCCCTCAAAGAGTTTATAGTCTAGTAAGTAACACAGTTTTTGACAATTATAATGCAGCGTGATCAGAGTAGGCTAAAGGTGTGAGCACAGTGACAACAAATCACATGGGAATATCCCAACCCTGACTATGAGATGGAGTGAGGAAGGGGAATGGGTTGATAGTGGATCAGTGAAAGCCATGGGAAGAGGTGATGTCTTAGATAAGAACTGATGTGCATATAGAAGTTAATCAACAGAGAAAGTGAGATGGTCATGTCACCAGGAACAGCCTGTGAAATAAAATGAGAAGTATTGTGTATAGGGAATAGCAGGAAATTTATAATGGCTGAAGCTCTAGGGCCAAATAGGCAAGGAGAGAGAAATAAGACTATCACCTTTGCGACAGAAAAAATTCTAAATGGCTTTATATCGACTACACAAATGTCCTTTAAAATTTCAGCAAATTGTTTTAACACATTGTTAAACCTATGTAAAATCTCTAGAAGGGAGAAAGAATGAATTAAAAAAAAACAGGATTACCAGGAGATAATGTATGGCCAATGTTGTTTGGGTCTATTATTTTGTTTTCTTTTTTTGTCCTTAGAGACTAAAGTGAATTGCTAGAAAAACCCCTAAATCCTTCTAAGATAATTGTAAAAAGCGAACTATTTAGATAAAGTTAATAGTAACAATATTAGTATTACCAATAAATCTTCCTTTCCTACCACCCATTTGCTCTCATCATTTATTCTATTCGATACACCCATGATATTTCGTGTGCGTGACAGTAATGGACAGATATGAGACATTTGGAAAACTTCTTTCATTACCTTTTATGTTCTGGATCCTGCACTACCAACTGCATCTGCTTCCTATTTCCTTTACAATGCTCCATTCACAGCCACTTCTCTATGAATGCTGACGTGCTGGTGCACCATGTATTCCCATTACTATCATTAAATAATACTTAATTGAGCACCTACTCTATTGGGAGCACTGAGAAGGCAGGTAGCAAGAGCCATAAATTGTTACTTTAAGTTTATAGCTGATAATCAGGAAGCATATATGATAGCAAAATAGGGTCATTTTGAAAATCTCTGCACAATTGAGCAAAAGTTTTAGCTTCATTGATGATTGGAAGAACCAACAATTATTGTGCACTTCTCTGTGCTAGGTATTTGCTGCTTAAAAGTGAAAACATATATATATATATTCAGCATATTAGGCCTGTGAGCTCAAATCAGCCTGTTTGTATAAAGCTCTCAAGCCATAAATGATTCTCATATTTTTAAAGGATTGTTTGAAAGGAAAAAAAAAAGAACGAAAAGAACTAAAATATGTGACAGACCATATGTGATATGTAAAGTCTAGAATACCTACTATCTGTCTCTTGACAGAAAAGTTTCCCTCCCCCAATAGACGAAGAAATTGAAGCTCAAAGAGATTCAAGGATCTGGCAGGAGTCATACAGCTAAAAAGTGGCAGATCTAGATTTGAACCTACATTTGTTCCCAACATCCATGTACCTTCCACTAATCATATTATCTCCCCAGCCTTAGACATATCTGTCTCTGATATTTCTGAGGCTGTGATCAAAGGGTATTGTTCTACAGGTCATATTTGACTTCACCACCTAAACTGAGCAATAACATAGACATAAACTCACATTTACCTAACCCCAAGTCCATTATTATGCAAAAAACACTCCTCTACCACTCCCTTCTATTCTTGTGATTTTATGCTTCTGTATCTGAAGAAAGACGATCTAATCAAGCCCAAGTGCTTAATTAACATTTTCTCTGCAGTAACAAAAATAAAATCTACACTAAAGCTAATTACTTAGCGATTTAACAATAACTTCTGCAGACTCTAAACTACATTCACAGTGGCTCACAAGACAGTGCTCAATAGATACAATTTGTAGCTTAATAAAACATCATACCATTTGATAGATTTTAAAAAATCATAAAGCACCTAACTTGCTAATTAAATTCTTAATGAAACACTTAATAATCTTAATTAAGGTACCTAGTGATTTTAATTATGTGCAGCTATAGCATGAGACTTACAATGATCATTTGCCATCTTTGCTCTTAATCACACAATTGAGAAATCTCCTATTACTACCAGACAGTCACAGCTGTCTAGTATTGTGACCTGTAGAACAGGACACAGTCAGTTACACCACTTCATCAGATATCTGCTGCGCTATTTTCTTCAATCTACCCCAAGATTGTAGGCTGATATTCTTTACGAACAAAGCAGCCAAATCTGCCTTCCTAATTCAAAATTCATTTGAAAAGCAGATATTTTCTTTCCCTTACACTCCCTCTTTCCCTCCCTCCCTTCTGTTCTTTTTTTATTTATCCATCCATCCATTCATCTATCCATCCATCCATCCATTCATCCATTTACTGTGTCTAAAATATGTAAGAAGCCATATTAAACACTAAGACAGATACAATGATACATAATGAATAATTTTTACTGTCAAGAAATTTATAGTTTAATAAAAGCAATGTTAGAGATTAGCAACAAACTTTTATTTCATGCTAACAATAGATTAGCAACTATGCACATTTTAGTAAACAATAAGTAATATGTACTGAGTGATCACCATGTGCCAATTTCTGTAATAGGTCTTTGCACATTCAAACTCTGAATCTTCAAAAGAACACTATCATTTAGTTACTATTATGCTTTCTCACTTTGACAGATAAAGAAGCTTCAGTAAACAGAGGTTAAGCAATTTCCCCAAGGCCATAAAGCTGATGAGTGGCACACAGCATGGATGCAAATTCAGGTAATCTTACTCGAGGTACCACAAATTACACTTCTTGCAGCATAAATTATCATATTTTATCCTCACAACAATCCTATAATGATAGATTTTTTAGTGTTTTCTTGGACGACCGTAGTCATAATTTCATAAGAATGTTTTTTGTACTCCAAGCTTATCAGGTGAGCCTTTGATAATC